>NC_000009.12:100190248-100341764 GCF_000001405.40 Homo sapiens | reverse complement strand
TCCCCCTTCCTGTATCATTTTGAAACACGATTTATGTTTTAAAAGATCACCCTGGCTGCTGTGTGGGGAATTGACTTTTGGAGGATAAGAGGAGAAACAGGCAGACTGGTTAGGAGGCTATTGCAGTAATCCAAGTAAAAGATGATGGTGGCCGGGTATCTAGTGGTTGAAATGATGAGAACTAGCTGGATCTAGGTAAAGCCAGCCAGACTGTTGGTATGTATAATGAAGGAAAGAGGAGTCAAGGATGATGCCAGTGTTACATCGCCCAAATGAGAAAGAAAGTCATTTGGCAGGGAGAATTTGGTTTTATTCATGTTAAGTTTTAAGATGCTTGTCAGAAGTTGAAGAGGAAGTGTCAAGTATGTATTTGCATATAAAATCTGGAGCTCAGGCAGAAATGATTCAAGTATTATTACTGGGCAGATCCAAACGTTTAGAAGTCAGGAAGAAGAGAACCCAGTAAAGATACTAAGGAGGAACAATAATTGAGCTGTAAGGCCGGGTGCAGTGGCTCACGCCTGTAATCCCAGCACTTTGGGAGGCCAAGGTAGGTGGATCACTTGAGGTCAGCAGTTGAAGACCAGCCGGGTCAACATGGTGAAACCCAGCTCTACTAAAAATACAAAAATTAGCCGAGCGTGGTAATGGGCACCTGTAATCCCAGCTACTCAGGAGATTGAGGCATGAGAATCGCTTCAATCTGGGAGGCAGAGGTTGCAGTGAGCTGAGATAGTGCCACTGTACTCCGACCTGGGCGACAGAGCGAGACTTCATCTCAAAAAAAAAAACCAAATTGAGCTGTAGGGTGACCAGCTGTTTTAGCACCTCAAGTCCCACATCTAGGAAACTTCTCAGTCTCTGACAAAATGGGATGGTTGGTTACCTTGGATAAGAGGAAATAAAGAATATTCTAATTTGGAATTAGAAAGACAGTGTTTCCATAGGAGGGAAATGATAAATTCACCAATACTACTGAAGCATTTTAAGTAAATGCATTGCTTTGTGAAATTGTTAAATAATGGAATTGCTGGAGAATAGAGTTATGGTGTAGACAGAACATCAGGGAGAAAGACTTTCTTGTATATTTCATAAACATTGCATTAGTAGTCCAAATTCAGAATTTTCTTAAGTCTCAGATACTTTCACTTTTTCTCTCTTAAGCAGCAGACAGAATGCAAGTAAATAGTTATTAAGCACCAAAAGGATCTATAGATGAAAAGTGGGTGCTTTAACAGTTAATTCTGATTTTTAAATTTATTTACATATTATATTACTGGTAGAAAGTGAATTATGATGGGACATTTATTTGACAAGTTGTCATTTCTCTTCAAGTTTTATTGCTTATTTTACATTTTTTCTTGTAGATTTTTCTAATCTTTGCTATTTCAATAGGAGTCATGGCTTCGAAAGAACTACCTTATTGATTTTAAACACCATTTTATGAGTCGTTTTCCATATGTCTTAAAAGAAATAACCAAGCACAAAAGGAAAGAGCCAAATAAAAGGTATTATGATTCTTTTTCACTGTATAACCTTGAAAAGCTGTTTAACCTGAAATTATCAGGAAGTAATTAACCTTAATATGGAACTTTCTACACTGCTGTGTATTTATGTCTAGATTTTGTGAAAATAAAAGTAGTAATATGGCTGATTTTTGGACAAGTGAGTTTGAACCTTGGGATTAACATTTTATTTTTATTTTTTAGTCTGTAAAATGGTTTTTTTGTGCTAGATGAATGTATCAGCTTATGTAAATACGAATTTAATAAAATTGCCAAGGTGTATGGTTTATTTGGGTGAGGCACTGTGTGATTATTGAACCTCTTAAGCAAGAGAATATCTTGATGATCATCTAGTTCCACTCTCATTTATACATGAGGAACCTGGTATTGAAACTAATATCAGTATCCCGAAGGAAGGAGGGTAATTGGAGAAAAATCAGAAATAAAAGGTAATTGATTAGAAGGTGAAAGTTAAAAAAAAAAAAGTAAGCCTAGAAATTATTTAAAATGTCTACCTCAAGTAAGAGCAGATAAATGTGAGAACAAGTTATGTAATAAAATTTGACAAGCAGGTACAAGCTAAAATACTAATACTGTAGTTCCCGTAAATGAGCATACACTTGCAAGGGATCTTAAAATCTGTCAAAGGCTCTTTTATCAAAGGGAATACATTAGCTAGAGAATCATTGAGGTTTTTTGAGCAGGGTTCAGAGAATATGCTTGGAAGCAATACAGCTATTTCAGGCATAAGAGTTTTTCATTCATGCACTAAATATTTGTTTTGGTTGCTTACTGTGAACAGGGTAGAACAAAGTATTGTGATAGAGAGGATCAGATTTTTTAAGCCTTGTACCTTGCCCTCCTAAGCAGTTTTATAAATATATATAAATATATATAAATATATAAAAATGTATATTATATATAATATATAAATATATATAAAAAACAAATATGTGTATATATATATGTATATATATATATATACTTTTTTTTTTTTTTTTTTTTTTTTTTTTTGAGATGGAGTCTCACTCTGTTTCCCAGGCTGTGGCACCATCTCAGCTTACTGCAACCTCTGCCTCCTGGGTTCAAGTGATCCTGCTGCCTCAGCCTCCCAAGTAGCTGGGATTACAAGTGTTCACCACCATGCCTGATTAATTTTTGTATTTTTAGTAGAGACAGGGTTTCACCATATTGGCCAGGCTGGTCTTGAACTCCCGACCTCAAGTGATCTGCCCACCTCAGCCTCCCAAAGTGCTGTAATTATAGGCATGAGCCACTGTACCCAGCCTTAAGCAATTATATTCTGAATCATAAAAGAATGTGTCAGGGTCCAGTCATGAAACAGAAACTGCGACAGTGATTTTTTTTTGAGACAGAGTCTCACTCTGTTGCCCAGGCTGGAGTGCAAGGCGTAATCTTGGCTCACTGCAACCTCCATCTCCCAGGTTCAAGCGATTCTCCTGCTTCAGCCTCCTGAGTAGCTGGGATTATAGGCATGCACCACCACGCCTGGCTAATTTTTGTATTTTTAGTAGAGATGGGGTTTCTTTCACCATATTAGCCAGGATGGTCTCAAACTCCTTACCTCGTGACCCACTACCTTGGCCTCCCAAAGTGCTGGGATTACAGGTGTGAGCTACCGTGCCTGGCCGACAGTGATTTTTTTAACAAGAGAATTTAATGTAAATAATTGTTAACTAGGTATGCAAAGGAAGTTAGGTATTATGGAGGTACCAACTGCAAGAAGCAGATACTACTTGTAGAACTGGGAGAACAAAGAAGGGAAGAAGCTTGGAGGAAGGGAGCCAAAACTCTAACCTCTCAGAAGGGTATGCTCCTCAGGCAGGTACTGATATCTTTAGCTGAGAGCAAGAACCCCATAGGGCTGGGGCCCAGTACTCTGAAAAGCGGGTGCTGGCTGGCTGGTGCTGACGTTTCTTAGAGGCATGATGATTCTGGTTCTGTGTCAGAAAAACTACAAACTGGAGTCTGCTATGGCTACTATAATGAACTGCAAATGACCTGAAGAAGAGCTGCCGATCAACACTGGCAGCAATAGGAAACAAAAACAAAACTAGCAAGCAAACAGAAGAGTGTCCCGTCTTCCTCTTACAGCTTTCTAGGCCCTTTGTACCACCCCTTTATTGGCAGAGCCTAATAAGCCATCTACAAAGGAAAAAATGTGGGTCGCAGAGTCCCAACCCCAGGGTCACAAAGCAGAGTATAGAGGGCGACTTTGAAGCTGAGAAACAGTAGCTCTGTAACTAACATTTACATGTGTATATTTACATATGTAACACAAAGCAGTATAAAAGTATCATTAGAACTATACAACTAAGTGCTATAAGAATTCATAGGAAGAGACAGATAACTGCTTATTAGGATAAACAGACAAAGCTAAATTGAAGAGTAGTATTTGAACTGGGTATGAACGTGGATATGGTTTCAGGAGGCAGAAATGCAAGGGATGAGACTTTTGTAACTAGAGGAGATAGCATACAAGAAAGCTACAGGATTAGGAAATGGATGGAGAGCGTGGATCTGGGTCCAGTCTGATTTCTGCTCTTCACTGGCCTTGATGTGGAAGCCGTTTCTTGACTCAGGAGTTCATCTTTCAGATCCTTTTGGCATTGAAGACTTTTGGTTCAGTCAGAACTGTTTTAGGGAGCTTCTGGAGTTGAGGGGACAGAATCAAAGAGACACTTTATTGAGCAAGATGTTAGACTTTTTCCCCCCATACAATTTTCTTATTAGAGTTTTTCTTCTGGGATTCATAGGTAAGCTTCAGAAAATCCATGAACTCTCAAAGTATTGATGGAGAATTATATGTATGTGTATTTTTTCAAATAAGGCATTCCATGTATAATTTTCATCAAAATGTGATTAAATTGTGGTTTAGATGTTTAGGATTTAGTAGACTTCAGTGTAAATAAATTATTGAAAAATGTATCAGCATATCATCATTCAAGAAATTTATTGGACTCTTATGTGCAAGGCACTTATTGTACTAGTTGCTGAGCATTTCATGGTAAAGGAAATAGGTAGAGTACCAGCTCTCATGGAGTACGGTCTAATGAAAAAGACATTTATTTCACTTGATTCTTTAATCAGTGACTGATTGTGATAGATATAGTGAAGGAAGAGCTTAGGTTAATACAGGAGTATGTAACAAAGAGTTGGTCCTGATCTTTCATGAGGGGAGGACCATCTTAGAGAAGGCTGCCCTGATGGAAGTGACAGCGTGCTGAGATATAAATGGGAAAAAAGAAAAGGAATTAACTTTATGAGGAGGTTGAGATGATGAAATTGAGGGATTTTTAGCAAAGATGGATTGCCAGTGTGACCTACTTTTCAAAAGATTCCCCCCTCATGATTGATTTTTGGGGAGCCTACAGGCTACTCTTAAGTAAATGCATTAAATACTTAGCAAATAGCCTGTGAACAGCAGCACAAATCACAGTTAGGGAAGTCAACAGTGGTCTAGGCCAACGGTCCCCAACCATTTTGCTATGAGGGACTAGTTTCATGGAAAACAATGTTTCCATGGACCTGAGGTGGGAGGCTTGGTTTTTGGGATGATTCAAGTGCATTACATTTATTGTGCGCTTTATTTCTATTATTACATTGTAATACGTAATGAAACAGTTTTACAGTTTACCATAATGTAGAATCAGTGGGAGCCCTGAGCTTGTTTTCCTGCAACTAGACAGTCTTATCTGGGGGTGATGGGAGACAGTGACAGATCTTCAGGTGTTAGATTCTCATAAGGAGCATGCAACGTAGATCCCTCGCATGCACAGTTCACAATAGGGTTCATGCTCCTATGAGAATCGAATGCCACTACTGATATGACAGGAGGCAGAGCTCAGGCAGTAATGTGAGCAATGGGGAGCAGCTGTAAATACAGAACAATCTTCATTTGCCTGCCGCTCACCTCCTGCTGTGTGGCCTGGTTCCTAACAGGCCGCGGACTGGTGCCAGTCTATGGCCAGGGGTTGGGGACCCCTAATCTAGGACAATGTTGTTTGCACTTCTTATTCAGGTACCCCCAGTGTATTTTTATTTTTTGTTTATTTATTTATTCATTTTTTTGAGATGGAGTTTCATTCTTGTTGCCCAGGCTGGAGTGCAGTGGCACTATCTCAGCTCACTGCAACCTCCACCTCCTGAGTTCAAGCAATTCTTCTGCCTCAGCCTCCCAAGTAGCTGGGATTATAGGCATGTGCCACTATGCCCGGCTAATTTTTTGTATCTAGTAGAGACGGGGTTTCACCATGTTGGTCAGGCTGGTCTCGAACTCCTGACCTCAGGCGAGCCACTGTGCCCAGCCTGTATTTTTAACCTGATACCTACATTTTAAAATCTCAGGTTGAAATACAGAGTTAAAAATGATATAATTTATTTTTATTGGGGTAAAATATATATAACATTAACCATTTAAACCACTTTTTAAGTGTACAGTTCAGTGGCATTAAGTACTTTCACAATATTGTGTGATCATCACCATCTATCTCAAAAAAAAAAAGGACATGCTTTGCATTTTTCATTGTTTTGACATTTGCACTAATGATACGAAAGCAATGGTGGGTAAAACTGTTAGTATCTTAGGCTGAATTAAGGCAGTGGCACCAAACTATACTAGTAGACATGTATTCTTTACCACCATACACTCACAGTTGAAAAAAAAACAAGCCAGTTTCACTTAAGAAGGTCCTGAATAAGCAGTAAACATAAATAATTGTATTAAGTCATGACCCTTGTCCGGGTGTGGTGGCTCACACCTGTAATCCCAGCACTTTTGGGAGGCTGAGGCAGCGGACCATGAGGTCAGGAGACCTAGACCATCCTGGCTAACACGGTGAAACCCATCTCTACCAAAAATACAAAAAATTAGCTGGGCATGGTGGCGGGCGCCTGTAGTCCCAGATACTCAGGAAGCTGGGGCAGGAAAATTGCTTGATCCCTGAAGATGAAGGTTGCAGTGAGCCGAGATCACACCACTGCACTCCAGCCTGGGCGACAGAGCGAGACTTCTCCAAAAAGAAAAAAAAAGTCTTGACCCTTGAGAACGCATATTTTTAATATTCTGTGTGATGAATGGGAAGTGTACATAAAGCATTTCTGCTGCATATCAAAGAACTATGATTGTCTCAAGGAAATAGCCCTGTGGGAATTTCTTACTTGTATTTTCCTGGAATGGACTAGATTTTAACTTGAAAAAAAATGACTGACAAACTGTGGTTATTCAGATTTGGGTGTTTGGCACATGTTTTCACAAAAATGAACAAAGTGACTGGCCAGGCGCGGTGGCTCACGCCTGTAATCCCAGCACTTTGGGAGGCAAAGGTGGGCAGATCACCTGAGATCAAGGGTTCGAGACTGGCCTGGCCAACGTGGCGAAACCCTGTCTTTACTAAAAATACAAAAATCAGCCAAGTGTGGTGGCGCACAACTGTAACCCCTGATACTTGGGAGCCTGAGGTGGGAGAATCACTTGAAGCCCAGAGGTGGAGGTTGCAGTGAGCCAAGATAGTGCCACTGTACTCTGGCCTGGGTGACAGAGTGAGACTCTGTCTCAGGAAAAAAAAAAAAAAGAACAAAATGAGCCTATCAGTTCCAGGAAAACAAATGGCATTTGTTGCCAATGATAAAATTTGAGCTTTCAAGCAAAAATTGATACTTTAGTAAACTTCTGTCTACCACTGTGAATTCTGTCCTTAGATTTACTACCTTTTTGCTCTTCATGTTTTTCATGTATCTCAGTCCTCCCTGGGATCATTTAGAGTCTTCTTTAGTTCGTTTTTTTCTCCCCCCATAAAAATGTATTTCTCTCGCATTTCTGAAGAATGTTTTAGCAGGGTTAATATTATAGATTTGGCAGTTATTTTCTTTGAGCACACTGACAATAATATTTTACTGTGTCCTGGTTTCTATTGTTAAGAAGTCAGCTATGAGTCTTAACTGTTGATACTTTAAGAGTTATCTGTGTTTTTTTTTTCCCCCTAAAGTTTTTCTTCTTGTCTTTCATTTTCTGCAATTTCACAGTGATGTATCCAGGTGTGATTTTCTTTTCTGTTTATTCTGCTTGGGATTTAGTGGATATCTGAGATCTTGAATCTTGAATGAAATGTCTTTTCATCGCTTCTGAAAAACGTATTATCTTTTAAACATTTGCCAATTTCTCTTCTTCCCTTTCAAGACCAATTTAATGCATGTTACATCTACTTACTGAATCCTCCACCTATTTTTTAATCTTTTATCTCTTCCAGTTTTTAATTCTTTAGTTGTATTCAGTTGTAGTCAAACATAAGTCCATTGAATTTTCATTTTTTATTTTTCAATTCTAGAATTCTTTCCAGTTGTTCTATCACCGTTCATTGGAAAGACTGTACTTTATCCATTAAATTTCCTTTGCTCATTTGTCAAAGTTCAGTTGACTATTTTCATGGGTCCGTTTTGGGACTGTGTTCCATTAATTTATGTATGTTTATTGTTTCACCAATACCATCTTATCTTGCTTATTGTAGCTTTATTGGGAGTCTTGAAAATGGGGAGTGTGAGTCTTCCAGCTTTGTTTTGCTTTAGTGCATTTTTTTGTTGTGGTTTTTTTTTTTTTTTTTTTTATGATGGGGTCTTCTTATGTTGTCCAGGCTGATTTTGAACTGGGCTCAAGGGATCCTCCCGCCTTAGCCTCCCAAAGCGTTGGGATTACAGGCATGAGCCACCATGCCCAGCTTGTTTTGCTTTAGTCTTATGTTTGGTATTCTGGGTCTTTGACCTTTCCATATAGACTTCAGAATCATTTTGTCAACAATTACAAAATAGCTTGCTAGAAATTTGATTTGGATTGTGTTGAATCTATCTATAGATTAGTTTAGGAAGAATTATTCCTTAAACTGCTAGAATGATGCAGAACTAGGATTCAGGTTTATCTTGACTTATTTTTACTTTCCTGGGAGAGAAACCTTTAAGGGCCAAGCTTAAGGTAGGGATGTTGTCCGGGCACAGTGGCTCACACCTGTAATCCCAGCCCTTTTGGAGGCCGAGGCGGGTGGATCACTTGAGGTCAGGAGTTACAGACCAGCCTGGACAACATGGTGAAGCCCCATCTCTACTAAAAATACAAAATTAGCTGGGTGTGGTGGCATGTTCCTGTAATCCCAGCTACCCGGGAGGCCGAGGTGGGAGGATCGTGCCACTGCACTCCAGCCTGGGTGACAGAGCAACACTCTGTCTCAAAAACAAAAAAACAAAAAACAGGTAGGAATGTCTTGGTAGGCCCTAGGCTTTGACTTTTGACTTTCTTTTCTTGTGGGGCCACTAAAAGGTTGCCTTAGTTTTGCAGCTTTTTTCTTTGGAACTGGCAGTTGCCCTCAGGACTAAACCTTGAGTGCTGGAATCTTGCACTTCTAGTTATTTTCAGCAATTTTTTTTTTTTTGAGATGGAGTTTCGCTCTGTCACCCAGGCCGGAGTGCAGTGGCATGATCTCGGCTCACTGCAAGCTCCACCTCCCGGGTTCACGCTATTCTCCTGGCTCAGCCTCCTGAGTAGCTGGGACTACAGGTGCCTGCCACCGCGCCCGGCTAATTTTTTATATTTTTAGTAGAGGTGGGGTTTCACCGTGTTAGCCATGATGGTCTCGATCTCCTGACCTCGTGATCCGCCCACCTCGGCCTCCCAGAGTGTTGGGATTACAGGCGTGAGCCACTGCGCCCGGCCTGTTTTGAGCAATATTATAATTACCTATACTACCTTTACTGGAAGTTAAAGTTTCATCAGAGATCTGCCTTCCTCCTAGAATTGTTGGTTGGTATATTTAGTCTTTGAAATTTCTGTATATGTTATTGGAGGAGCAGAAGGAACTCTCCCAAGTTTGCAGATGTCCATTGAGACTTTCCGGATTGTAATAGATTATGCTGCCTGAGATAAACTTACGGTAAATTTTCCAAAGCTCTACCTGTGGGGAAGAAATGTTGCAATTCTATCCCAGTGTTTACTGTCTCTTTTCTTAATGATAGGATTCTTAATTTTCATCTGAATGTATCACTACACAAAATAAAAAACAGATTTCCCAGTTTTCTTTGCAGCTAGGAGCAGTCATATGGGTAATTTCTATTAAATAGCTCAGACTTCTTCCAGTGTCAGACTTGTACATTGAATTATCTGTTGGCCATCTCCGTCTGGATTTGATTATGATACTTTAGGCTCAACATATCCAACGTAGAATTAATTTCTAGATCTCTCTGCCCCTTTTTCTTCATCATCTCTGAATTTAGTCACTACTGTTAGAACCCTTAATGATTACTCCTCCTGTCTCCACCATCTTCAGACTCACATATTTGTATATATTTAAGCATATTTCAAATCTGGCTAATTTTTCTTCTTTGTAAATGCTCTCCTTCTCCCAGTTCATACCAGTATTGACCCTGGTTCTTGGACTTGCCATCTCTTGTCTGGAGTGCTGCTTCTTTGTTTATAGGCTGTAACTCATTGTCCTTTTCGTATCCACACAATCATGTCTCTGAAAGAAGCTTGCAACCATGTTATTCCCTTGCTTACACAATTAATTTTGATGTCTTTAGCCTCTGGCTCTTTGTAACCTGGTTTCATTTTACCTTTCCAGGCTCATTTGTCGTTCCGGGTCTTAACATTTGATGCTTGATAATGCCAGATTTCTTTTATTTCCCTTCTCATGTATTTGTGGTTCCTCACTACTGTGCCCTTGCTCAAGACTAACTAGGATTAATCTTTTCCTTTAAAATTGATTGGCTTGAGATATTTATGGCTTTAGTCAAATTTACATGTTTCTTTTCTGTTTTTTAGTGATAGGGTCTCTCTTTGTTGCCCAGGTTGGAGTGCAGTTGTGTGATCATAGCTCACTGTAACCTCAAACTCCTGGGCTTAAGTGATGCCCCTGCCTTGGCCTCCTGAGTAGCTAGGACTACAGGCACTTGCCAGCATGCCTGGCTTATTTTATTTTTATTTATTTATTTTTTTGAGATGGAGTTTCACTCCTGTTGCCCAGGTTGGAGTGCAATGGCGCAATCTTGGCTCACTGCAAACTCCGCCTCCTGGGTTCAAGTGATTCTCCTGCCTCAGCCTCCCAAGTAGCTGGGATTACAGGCATGTGCCACCACACCCGGCTAATTTTTTTTTTTTGTATTTAGTAGAGACAGAGTTTAACCATGTTGGTCAGGGTGGTCTTGAACTCCTGACCTCAGGTGATCCACCTGCCTCGGCTTCTCAAAGTGCTGGGATTACGGGCGTGAGCTCCCATGCCTGGCTTTAATTTTACTTTCATTTTTTGTAGAGATGGGGTCTCGCTGTGTTTTCCAGGCTAGTCTCCAACTCTTGGCCTCAAGCAGTCTTCCCAGTTCATCCTCCCAAAACACTGGGATTACAGGCATGGGCCACCACACCCAGCCAGCTTTATGTTTTTCTAAACATGAAAGAAATAAGCTCTGCTGTTGAATATACCACAGTCTGAAATGAGTATGTTCTAAGTTGCAAATTTTGTTTTTATTAAAATATTTTATTTTAGATTTTTTGAAATTGTGTTTTGTTTGGCTAGAGTGAATAAACTGATATTAATATGTGAATTATAAAATTGTTTCAAATCAGTGCTTACCGGGGTATGTCTCCTTATTTCACATGTGAGAAAGTTATGGCCAGGAAAGACTAGTGATTCTTTTAAGTCAGATGATTAGTTAAAAGCAGAGCCAAGATCTACTGTGATTTCCATCCAAATATAAGCATCTGCCTTAAATCAGGTGTGTCAGGGTTTTTAAGTCTTATTTTTCAAGTTCCCAGGCAATATTATAAGGGCATTTACATTTTGTGTGAATAGCACCTTGAGTAATGAATTGAGCTGTATACACTCTGTACCTTCTTAACAACTCTGATTCCATAATGAAATGGTTTATTTATAGAACTGTGGCCTAAGTCTTGCCTATGCACCTATCTTCTTGGCCATCTATTAATTCTAGAAGGGAATTTTTTAAAACTCCATTGATAGATTATTTTAAGTATTCTAATGAAGCAGGCATGGTAGACGTAATGCTTTATAGATGTGTGTGTCTTTGTTTCTAGCATCAAGCATTGCACAGTTCTCTCCAATAACATAGATCATCTCTTACTGAATTTAACACTGTCTGATATCATGGTCTCCCTGGCAAATGCGTCAACTTTGCAGAAGGATTGCAGTTGGATAGAAATGATAAGGAAATTTGTAACAGAGACCCTTGAAGATGGCTCTAGGCTAAATAGTAAGCAACTGAACAGATTGCTGGGAGTATCCTGGAGGTTAATGCAAATACAGCCAAACAGAGGTAGGTGATGCTACTTTGCCCTTATTTAAGAGTGGAGCTCTTACATGTGCTATCTTAAGGTCTAGCTTTGAAATGATGGCTTGTAAACATTCCATGTAGTCAGGCTAATTGTATTCAAGCCATAAAAGGTAGCTACTGTCTACTTGAACACTGAAATTGTTTATGGCTCAGAGTATCTCTAAGTGGGTAGGTCCACTCTGAAGCAGATTGATAAAGATTTCTACCCTCTTCTGATCTAGTTTGGCTAGAACTTGAGAACTTTTTCCCTTGATTGATATGGCATGAATCTTCCCTGTCTCTTTACCTTTTTTCTAGCTTAAGGTTAAGTTATATTAAGTCAGTTTTAGAGTGACTTACTAATTCTTTGATTTTAAAACAAAGTTTTCCTATTTGGTTCCCATCTAAATTGCCTTTCTAATATTCTGGTTTTTGTCATTCCTAGGTTTGTTGTTAAGAAAATTTATACTGTAACTACTGATTGGTTTGACTTTTTTATTAGGCTATTGCTATAGGACTTCAATGGTAGTTGTCTATTTGTGGCTAAAATTGGCTTTGCCATAGGAAGAAAGTAAAGTACTTCGGTGCATTCAGAGGAATTTGGGGGCTGTTAAACATTTTTTGATTCATATGCAAGTTGTTTTCTTTCTGTTTGTAGAGGACACAGAGACTCTTATTAAGGCAGTTTATACATTATATCAGCAGAGGGGCCTTATCCTTCCAGTTCGGACTTTGTTATTGAAGTTTTTCAGTAAAATCTATCAGACAGAAGAACTGAGATCTTGTAGATTCAGGTAAAATCTTGTTATTTTTCCTTTCTTTTTTCTCTTGCTGAGTTTTTCTGTAGTCTAAGTATTTAAATAATTTTAGAGAGATTAAATCTTTGGAGAAGTTCATTCTTTTTAATCCTACTTGTTTGCATTTAAGAAATGGTATAAAATTTTAAAAGATGCATACGTAATAGTGCCAGTAAACTTTATACCCATATCTGAACAGATAAAAGACTGCTTAGGCATGCATTTCTACCTGTCCACTTATAGCTAAGGGACAGTTGGAACAACCTCAGCCCTTTCTCTTCCCCTCCCATAAAAATTACGGAGGTTGAATCTCTAGCCATTAGTGACATATTGAGGCATATGGGATAAGAGTGAGGGCAATAGAAGATGAGAAAGTTTCTGGCTTAGTTTAGTGCTATCAGAGAGAGACAACAAAAGAGTGGACTAAGGAATTTTTCAATAAGGTGAGTTTGAGGTTTATTTGGCATAGTCAGAAATGTTTGAGAGGAAGATACAGATTTGGGATACCTCAACATATATAGGTAGTTGTTGTAACGTATTCTGGTATTTACTTTAAGCCAAGTTACTTTACATAATCTCAATAATCTTCATACTGCTACTGTGAGGTGGATACTGTTAGCTTCCATTTTACAGAAGGAAGCAGAAAATAAATAAATTGGTGAGTATTATGTAGCTAATGTATAGCAGAGCTGAGACTTAAGTTCAGGTCTATCTTGACAGCAAAGTCCATGATAGAATCACCAGCCTTTCAGGGGACCTAGTGAAAATGTTCACTGTTATTCAAGACATTTACACTCCAGCAAGTATTCTAAAGAAATAAAAATAGCACAAGTTTGAAGCTATTTTGTATGGGAGCAACTTATGGTGAATGTGTACATTTGTTAATATAGTATAATAACACCGATTAGGATAAATAGTTAAGTGTCTCTATCCTTCAAAATAAAAATACAATTTAGATACTGCCCCAGTTAACATTAATTTAGTGGGTAAAGCCTTGGAAAATGATGCTGGCATCTTGTAGGTTCTCAAATGTTTAAATGAATAAATGTGGTATTATTGATACATAATTAGTCACTTTGTGATATATTTAAGTTAAAAAAAAATTTTTTTTTTGTTTAAATTTATTTCCCTTGTCTTTGAGTATTACATTTTATTCTTCTTTGGCCTTTCTAAGATATCGTAGTAAAGTGTTATCCCGTTGGCTGGCTGGCTTACCATTGCAACTTGCTCATCTTGGCTCCCGAAATCCTGAGCTCTCTACACAGCTTATCGATATCATTCATACCGCTGCAGCACGAGCAAATAAAGAATTACTAAAAAGTTTACAAGCTACTGCCCTCCGAATTTATGGTAAGAGTTCATTTGTTTAATGGTATGGGTAGTCATTGATCCACCCTGATATACAAAAGAAGTTTTTAAGGGGAGCTCTGTAATTTTGCCTTTCCCTTAGTCTGAATTAGTAATACCATGGTTAAATTGCCAGAACAAAACATCATACAGTAAATTCATTTTCAATATTTATTAGAATATAGAAGGTTAATGATTGTTGATGCTTATTGCATTCTTAAATTGTCTTTCAAACCACTTGCTATTCATAAATTCAAAACTAATCTGATACTTAAAAATTCCTTTGAAGCTCTGATGGCAAGACATATCTTTATTACTTATTTAATCATAGTGAATATCTCGTATGACTTTCATATATTCTTTGTTCATCTAGGACTGACTTAACTAATATTTTAAGCAAAATTATTAAAACATAACTGGGATGTATGTATGCATATAATTATTGAAATATAATTCACATACTATAAAATTCACCATTTTACAATGTACAGTTCAATGAATTTTAAAAAATATATTCCTAAGGTTGTGCAACTATCACCACTGTCTAATTCTAAAACATTTTTATCACCCCAGAAAGAAACTTGTACTGATTGGAAGTTCATCCTTATTCCTTTCTTCCCCCAGCCCCTGGAAATCACTCATCTACTTTCTGTCTATATGGATTTGCCTATCATGGATATTTTGGAATTACATAACATGGGGCCTTTTGTGTCTGGCTTGTTTCACTTAGCATAATATTTTCAAGATTTGTCCGTGTTGTAACAAGTATCAATACTTTATTCCTTTTTATTGTTGAGTAGTATTTTGTTGTATGGATATGTCACTGGTATTTATCCATTTGTCTGGTGATGAACATTTGAGTGGTTTCCACCTTTTGTGGGTTGTAGTTTTAAATATGTATTTTTCAATATTGGTCATATATCTGTAGGTATATATATATACACACAGCAAACAAAGTCTTTTGCTTTAAGTCAGGTTGATGTAATTGTCACTGTTTAGCAAAATTGCTTGTTTACTTTGCATTCAATCTCTTTTCCTTATTACCCCCCTGAAAGTTTTTATTTCTAACAAGACACTTGTATATTAAATCTTTAAATTATGTTTGGTGTTTTATTTTATGCAGTAGCTTAACAAGCCATACATATGTGTTTTATGATATTAATATAATTATGCTTTTATGTAATTGATATTCATAAAATTCAGCATAAAATGTTAGCCCATAATTCAATGGAAGTCATTGATCTGCTTTATTAATCTCTGGTTTGCATGTCTTTTATAGTTGTTTTTAATATGTCTATCCACCTCACTAGATCCACAAGAAGGTGCTGTGGTGGTTCTCCCTGCAGACTCTCAGCAGCGTTTGGTTCAGCTTGTATATTTCCTACCCAGTCTGCCGGCTGATTTGCTTTCTCGGTTAAGTCGTTGCTGTATTATGGGAAGACTCAGTTCAAGTTTGGCTGCCATGCTTATCGGGATACTGCACATGAGGTAGCATGCTCAAGTGAGCTGTATTTTAAGTGTATAATCTTTTTCCCCTTTTACTGGTAATTTGTGAATTACGGAAGCCTTTTGAAGTCGCATACACTACTTTCATTTACTCTTAATGCAACAATTAAAACTATATCACTAGGTAGAGTAAGTTCACAAGAGTAAGACTGTTTCAAGTTACTTGTTTAATGACTTTTATAGATAGCTTGGAATAAGGGTTGAAATAGAATTATCAAAAGTGTGTGTAGTAAGGGATTTATTGGTAGGTGATGGTGTCGTACTTCAAACCTTTGTTGTTATGGAATTGCAGTATAGACCTTTTCTTCAGAGAGCTCAGAATTTAATGTAGCTGGTGAATTAAACAAGCTTGTGGACTGAGACCAGGAATCACTTGTAATCTCTCACTTTTTTTTTCCTGGTGGTATAATAAACATAACATAAAATTTACCATTTTAACCTTTCTTGAAAAGTTTTGCCAGGCGTAGTGGCTCATGCCTGTAATCCCAGCATTTTGGGAGGCCGAGGTGGGCAGATCACGAGGTCAGAAGTTCAAGACCAGCCTGGCCAGCATGGTGAAACCCCATCTCTGCTATAAATACAAAAATTAGCTGGGCATGATGGTGCATGCCTATAGTCCCAGCTACTCAGGAGGCTGAGGCAGGAGAATTGCTTGAACCCGGGAGGTGGAGGTTGCAGTGAGTCAAGATGGCACCACTGCACTCCAATCTGGGCGACAGAGTGAGACTCTGTCTCAAAAAAAAGAAAGTTTTAATATTTCAAGAGACAAGTTCTCACTCTGTTGCCCAGATTAGAGTGCAAGTGGCATGATCATAGCTCACTGCAGCTTTGAACTCTTGGGCTCAGGAGATCCTCCCTCCTTGGACTCCAAAGTAGCTAGCACTACATGCCATTTTCCATAGCGGCTGTGCCATTTTACTCTGAAACTCTGAAAGGTTTTATGTTGCTCATGTTGGAAGTATCCTCATGTATATATCTTCAGTCATAGTATTTTAGTATTCAGCAGTATTACTGGTTGTGGGTAGGGTCTGATGTGGTTTTAGGCAGAAATAGAAATCTAGGCTGTAGTTGAAAACTTTTCTTGTATAGATCCCCTATCTCAGGTAGGTAAGAGTAGCTTACTTTTAATAGACTTTCTTCATACCAGTATAGGACAGATATTTGACTCTGGTCACTGGAAGTGTGCTTCATAACTGACAATAAACTTGCCTTTTACCAAAACAGAGAAAAACATATAAATAAAATATTGTTTGTATTTAAAAATTTTAGGTTTATTTCTTCCTTGTATATGCACATTAGAGGGGCCTGGACATATTTTTTAAGAATTTTAAATATTGATTAGTTTCCCATGTTTTTTCTTTTTAGATATTAAAAAACTGCACTTTGTTTTGTGTAAGCAAAATGCTAGGCCTTTTAAAAGTTAAATTTTTAAAAAAAATTTTCCGTAACTTAAGAGCTTGTTTTTTATTTGACTTCCAGTAGAGGGCACTCTGTTCCTTAGATATAACTTACATTCAGTTCCGTTAAATCACCCCTTGAATGTTTCTTGAAATTGATTCTCCTTGGAAGATGCATTTAATGTCTTCATCAACATCTGTTCACTTATGTTTAATAACTTTTGTCAAGGATTATTTTAAAATCTTGGGGTTTTTTTGCTTTTATCTTTTTGTGGCGATGAGTGGCGAGAATTGGGAAAATATATTAATTTTACAAATACTGATAATACAGACTCATATTTAAATGATTGTCATTGTAGTTAAAAGTCTACCAAATTAAATTTTGCTTTTTAGTATTTGTACAGAGTCCATTAGTAGACTTCTCTCTATGTAGGTATATTATTCCCATCTAAAGTAGTCCCTTTTTAAAAAGAATACAAAATTAGGACTTTTCAGCCTTCTTGAGCCCATAGCACCATCATTTTATCACTTTTCATAGGGTCATAATAAGACTAGCCAGGCGCAGTGGCTCATACCTGTAAATCCCAGCACTATGAGAGGCTGAGGCAGGCAGATCACTTGAGGTCAGGAGTTTGAGACCAGCCTGGCCAACGTGGTGAAACCCCATCTCTATTAAAAATACAAAAATTAGCTGGGCATGGCGGCTCATGCATGTAACCCCAGCTACTCAGGAGGCTGAGGCAGGAGAATTGCTTGAACCCAGGAGGCGGAGGTTGTAGTGAGCTGAGATCATGCCGCTGCACTCTACCCTGGGTGACAGAAGGAGACTCCATCTTTAAAAAAAAAGACTGACGGTTAGTTCATTCAGACATATGTTGGGTTACTTCATATCTTTAGTTTTTTATTCAAAATAGCTCCTCTTCTTGACCATGACTATAAAATAGTCAACTTTTAAATTATTTCCCACTTATACTCTTACAATGTTGCTTCTCAGTCCTATGCATCCTGTATACTGTTGCCAGATTGATTTTTCTGCAATACTCCTTTACTCATTTCTGATTTTTATCTTGTCACACTAATTGGTCTGTGAGATCAAGTTTAGCTCAATTTTTGTAGTTCTGATACCTTGCTGTCTCTATTAAAGCATTTGTCTAATGGCAGGACATGTACCACCTAAGCAAGGATTCCATGTGTTAAAAACCCATCAGCTAGAAATCATTCATGTTTATTTTCTCTCAGCTTTTAAAAAATGTGTTTAGAATTGCTCTCTCTACCTTTTTACCAACCAGTTATAGTTTTTTTACAATCTGATGTTTTCCTCATACCATTCTACTTGTGGTGTTTCATAATAATATCCAGTGGCCTTTTCTCAGTTCTTACCCCTCTACCCCAGTTTATTTATAGCCAGATTGGGGAAACAGAAAGCATAAATACGGAAAGATGCTCCGTGGTGTTAGGTAAAATCTCTGAGGAAGGAGAAATTGGCTTGCACCAAGAAGTTTGGCTTGGGTTTTAAATAGGGTGAACATATGACCTGGTCTGCCAGGAACAGTTCCATTTTACTCCTTTTGGCCCAGCATAATCAGCGCCAGCCACCCCCTTTTACTCACAGAAGTGTTCAGGCTTGGAAAGTATATATGGTTTTCATAGTTTTAAAGACAGTATGATATATTGCTTGTCATTTATCACTTTTCACAGGGTCAGAATTTTAAATAGGCTGTTAAATAAATTTGCTGCCCCTTTTGGCCACTGGATGGCACAATTGCTTCCTGTTTTCATTGAGGTCAAGAAGATAATAGTTTGTTTTTCAACCACTATTTTGTACTTCTTTGTGTTGAGCATCTGTGCTTTTTATAACCCCCTTAGCATGTGCTATTGTCCCCATAGACCTTTGCTTATCACCTGGGAATGACACTCAAGAAGAGTGTTTTCATTATTTTATGCCTGTCCCCTCCTTAAGAATATTAATAAGGCTGGGTGCAGTGGCTCACAACTGTAATCCCAGAACTCTGGGAGACCGAGGCAGGTGGATCACCTGAGGTCAAGGGTTTGAGACCAGCCTGGTCAACATGGTGAAACCCCATCTCTACTAAAAATACAAAAATTAGCTGGGTGTGTTGGTGCACGTCTATAATCCCAGCTACTCAGGAGGCTGAAGCAGGAGAGTCGTTTGAACCCAGGAGGTGGAGGTTGCAGTGAGCTGAGATCATGCCATTGCACTCCAGCCTGGGCAACAAGAGAAACTCCATCCCCCCAAAAAATATATATATAAATAAATATAAATGCAATTATTATAACAGTAAAAAAATTACTAAGTACTTATAGGTGAATTAGAAGTTCCTAATTTTGTTTGATATTTATTCAGTTGTCTGTGATAAAAATTTTTAGTATAAGTTTGTCTGATTATTCTCAGCCTTTTTGCAATACCCATGACTGACATCTGTTTTCTTCCTAGCCTTACCTTGAAGGGAATTTTTAAAGGAGACACTAGAAACTGATCTCATAGGAGGAACCAAATAATCCTCATTTAATGGGAAGCTGCTTTACATTTAGCTATTCCTTTTGAGTCCTCTGCCAATACCTTAGCTGCACTATTGTGAAATAGACCTAGTTACAACTTTACTAAGAATAAGAACACATAGTTGCCTTATAGTGGCTTTAAAGATAAGTTTTCTTTGCCTAATTAAGATACTTTTGCTTAGTTATGTAGGAAGCTGAAGCTTGTTTAAACATAACTCATTTGCTGAGGGTAAGACTATAAAAATCAAATAGTAAATACATAGCAGCTGAACCTACTACTGAAAAGCAAAACTTCATCTTGGCTCCTTAGAGTCTGATTTTCAGATGGGATGGAAATTTTCTGTTGTACTATATATGTTGATCAAGTATGCTTTTTAATGAAAGTTTGTATTAATATGTTTGAATTTCAAACTTTCATACTAGGGTACTTGAGCCCTTGGATATGAAATTAATACAAGGCATACTATGGGTTTTATTTTAAGCTACTAAATCAAACTTGTTTTCAGTAAAGAACAATGGTTATATACTGTGCTACCTTTGACAAGTCTGTCAAGTTGGTCACTTCTGGTAATAGTTCTCCCTTTGTTTTTTATAGATCATCATTTTCTGGGTGGAAGTATTCAGCTAAAGACTGGTTGATGAGTGATGTAGACTATTTCAGCTTCTTATTTTCCACACTTACAGGTAACCACATTCACTTGCCAGATTAAAAAAGAAAAAACCTAATATGAATCACAATTCTCCTTCTAAGATTTGCCATTTTATCAGTTTGGTTCAGTTTTGAAGATGATAAATATTCTATCTTGGAGTGATTTTTGTGATTAGTAACTGGAAATCGAAAGAATATTTCTAACCTACATACACTGTTAGGCTTCTGAGGCAGGAGGATGGATGATTTGTCTTTAAATCTCTTATAGTATGAGTATCAAAACCCTGAGCATTATTTGAATGTCATGTTATTGTATTTTTAAGTTTGATGTACTACTACTATTATTTTAAATGTATTATTTGAATATTTTCATTGTATACTTGGATAATGATAGGATTCTTTGAAATTTTCTGAAGACTTGAAATTAGGAGAGTTAATATAGTGTCAGGATCCAAAAAGAACTTGACAGATCCAATACTATGCTGAATCTAGCAAGATAAATACTTCAGAAGATAAATGTAAGCTCCTATATGTTTACTGTATATTTATGAATGTATACATTTGAGGTGGGAGAGGCTGTGTGTTTTAATAGTAGTTGTCAGAAAGTTTTTAGTGATTTTAGAAAGCTCATTGGGAGTCAGTACTATGACATGGCTATCAAACTAGATGATGCCTCTTTAGGTAGTGCTTACAGAAGTATAGTGATTTGAACATCAAGGTAGATAGGGTTGGGCCACATCAGTGGTATTCTGATCATTTTGAGAACTACCTTTCAGGAGTGACTTTGGCAGCTTGTTTGTGTAGGTTAGGCCAAGTGTAAATAGAGGTGGTAAGGGGAACTAGAAATTGTTGAATGAACTATACATGTATTGTCAAAGTAAAAACACCTAGGGGGATGGAGTAGTTTTGAAACATTTGAAGGTCTATTATCTAAGAACCTAAAGCATTTGATATATATGTAGGAGTATATTACTGCTTTTACTTGCTCATTTGCTTTTTTAAACCTACCATTAATTGGAAAGATTATGCCTTTCACTCTAAGTAAAATTGTCAAAACCCTAGTAGAAGTGGTAAAACCTGTTTCTTGCTATATTATAGATTGGGTCTGATCACATCTTTTATATAATTATATGAATTTAACTGTCTTCATTGCTAGCATTTTATTTTTTAAAATATAGCATGAAATGCAGAAGCTCAGAGAAAACAAGGTAGCTTAAAGAATGTTCACTTGAAGGCATATGTCATCTCTGTTTTTTAAGAAAGTCATTGTTTTTTGTTTTTTGTTTTTTTAAATTGGCTTTCTTTGTTACCTGAATTAGGGTTTTCGAAAGAGGAGTTGACTTGGCTTCAGAGCCTTCGAGGAGTTCCTCATGTCATCCAGACACAGCTTTCCCCTGTGCTTCTCTACCTTACAGATTTGGATCAATTTTTACACCACTGGGATGTAACAGAGGTAATAGTTCATTTAAAAAGAAACTAATAATTATTAAAATTCAGTTCATCAACCAGTAATAGTTACTATATATGAGTTGCCTTGTGTGAGATCTTTTCAAAGATACTTGTTTAAAGTGCTTATAATCTTGGATGGGAGAAGTACGTTTGAAAAGGGAAACATTCTTTATAAATTGTGCCACTAGAACAGAACAAATCAGCAATTTGAATGATAGATCCATCTTTTTAAAAGAGGAAAGCATTATGAAAGAGTAAGAATTTGAGGTTTTGAAGGATAAGACTTAAGTAAGAGTTGGTATCCTTGAAGGTGACTTTTTAAACGGTAGATTATTCACCAGTTCCTTTGGTTTTAAGAATTACTATGTAACTTATTGAAATTAAATTTAAAACCCAAATTCTTTAAGTTTTGAAGTTTGTTTTACAAGTCTTATTTTTTATTTTATTTTATTTTATTTTTTTGAGACAGAGTTTTGCTCTTGTTGCCCAGGTTAGAGTGCAATGGTGCAATCTCTGCTTGCTGCAACCTCCACCTCCCAGGTTTAAGTGATTCTCCTGCCTCAGCCTCCCAAGTAGCTGGGATTACAGGCAGGCGCCACTGCACCTGGCTAATTTTTTGTATTTTTAGTAGAGACGGGGTTTTACTATGTTGGCCAGGCTGGTCTCGAACTCCTGACCTTAGGTGATCCACCAGCCTCAGCCTCCCAAAGTGCTGGGATTACAGGCGTGAGCCACCACACCCAGCCTACAAGTCTTATTTTTTCAGTAAATGTAAACATTTAAAAGAGGACTTTGATTTAATTTTATTCCTTTTACAAACCTAATTTTTTTATTTTCTTAAATAACCATAATAGTATTTGTCCAATACTTCAGTTTTCTGACAAACCTTCACAAATAATTGAAGTAAATCTTAGAGATATTTAATAAATTAAAGATATAAATATGGGAAATCTTATGTTTTAGTACTACTTAATGAAACTTGAAATTAAAACCACAAGTCTGAATTAATTAACTACTGACTTTAAAAAGTTTTTTGTTACTGTTTTGGGGTTTGGTTTGGTGTTTTTTGTTTTTTTGAGATGGAGTCTCGCTTTTGTCGCCCAGGCTGGAGTGCATTGGTGCTGTCTCGGCTCACTGCAACCTCCGTCTCCCGGGTTTAAGCGATTCTCCTGCCTTAGCCTCCTGAGTAGCTGGGATTACAGGCGCCCGCCACTACTCCTGGCTAATTTTTTTGTATTTTTAGTAGAGATGGTTTTGCCATGTTGGTCAGGCTGGTCTTGAATTCCTAACCTCAGGTGATCCTCCCATCTTGGCTTCCCAAAGTGCTGAGATTACAGGTGTGAGCCACTGCTCCCAGCCTGGTGTCTTCTTTTTAAGAGATCTTGCTATTTTGCCCAGGCTGGCCTTGAATTCCTGGGCTCAAGTGATCCTCCTGCCTCAGCCTTCTGAGTAGCTGGGGCTGTAGGCATATGGCATCATGCCCAGCTGCTGACATGTTTTAAATTGGAATTATAAGGCTGATCTTTTGCCCTAATAGGCAAAATTGTCTTAAATGTTACAAATACTTATACTAAATACACAAACAGTATCACAAACATTAATACTAAAGATTTGTTTCATTTCTAAGTTTTTAAGTTTATTTTTATTCTTTTGTGTGTGCATGTAAATTTAGGGGTACAAATGCAGTTTTGTTACATGCGTAAGACTATACAATGGTGAATCAGGTATCTGAGAGTATCACCCAACAATGTACACTGTACCCATTAAGTAATCTCCTATCATTCACCCCACTCCCACCCATTCACCTTTTTGAGTCTCTATTGTATGTCATTTCACACTCTATGTCCATGAGTAGACATTATTTTTAGCTCCCACTTACAAGCAAGAATATGCGCCATTTGTCTGTGTCTGACTTGTTTCACTTAAGATAATGGCCTTCCGTTATATCCATATTGCTGCAGAAGGCATGATTTTATTCTTTTCTATGGCTAAATAGTATTTCATTGTGTGTAAATATCACATTTTCTTTATCCACGCATACGTTGGTGAACATTTAGGTCAATTCCATATATTTGCTATTGTGAATTGTGAATAGTCCTGCAATAAACATAGGTATCTTTTTGATGTAATTATTTCTTTTCCTTTGGGTACATACTTGGTAGTGGGAGTGCTGGATTGAGTGGTAGTTCTATTTTCAGTTATTTGAGAAATCTTTATACTGATTTCCACAGAGGTTGTACTAATTGACATTCTCACCAACAGTGTGTAAGTTCTGCATCCTCACCAATATCTGTTTTTTTTGTCTTCTTAATAGCCATTCTGACTGGTATGAGATGATATCTTTTTGTGGTTTTAATTTGTAGTTCTCTGATGATTAATGTGTTGAACATTTTTTCATGTGTGCCTTTTTGGCCAATTTGTCATCTTGAAAAATACCCATTCATATCCTTTTGTCTACTTTTTAACGGGGTTATTTGATTTTTTGTTGTTGCTTGAGTTCCTTGTATTGTAAATTTTTGGTATTAGTCTCCTGTTGGATGCATGGTTTGCCTATATTTTCTCCCATTCTGCAGGTTTTCTGTTTGCTTAGGTAGTTATTTTTCTGTGTAGAAATTTTTTAGTGTAATGAAGTCCTATTTGTCTATTGTTGTTTTTGTTGCTTGTGCTTTTGGGCTCTTAGTCATGAATTATTTGTCTAGATCAATGTCCAGAAGAGTTTTCTGTAGATTCTTATTATTTTTATAGTTTCATGTCCTACATTTAAGTGTTTAATCATCTCGAGTTGATTTTTGTATATTGTAAGAGAGATTCAGTTTCATTTTTCTGCATGACATTCCAATTTTCTCAGCACCATTTATTGTAAAAGTTGTCCTATCTCCAGTGTAGTTCTTGTTGACTTTGTCAAAGCTGAGTTGGTTATAAATATGTGCTGTTATTTTTGGTTCTCTATTCTGTTCCCTTGATCCATGCATCTGTTTTTATAGCAGTACCATGTTGTTGTGTTTACTACAGCCTTGTAGGTAATGTAAAGTATCACAGGGAATGTGATACTTCCAGCTTTGCTCTTTTTGCTTAGTATTGCTTTGGCTATTCAGGCTCTTGTTTTGGTTCCATATTATTTTTAGGATGGTTTTTTTCTAATTTTGTGAAAAATGATACTGGTATTTTGACAGCCGTTTCATTTAATCTAAAGATTAATTTGGTTAGTGTTGTCATTTTAACGATGTCAGTCTTTCTATCTGAACATTGAATGTTTTTCCATTTGTTTGTGTCATCTACATTTTCTTTCATCAGTGTTTTCTAGTTCTCTTTGTAGAGCTCTTTTACCTCCTTGGTTAAATATATTCCTAGGTTTTTTTTTTTTTTTTTTTTTTAGCTATTATAAGTGGGATTGCCTTCTTGATTTTGTTTTCAACTAGTTATTGGTATATAGAAATGTACTGATTTTTGTATGTTGATCTTACATCTTGAATTCATTTCTAGATATAAGATCATACCATCTAGTTGGATATGGTGGCATGCACCTGTAGTACTAGCTACTTGGAAGGTTGGGGCAGTAGGATAGCTGGAACCCAGGAGTTTGAGGATGCAGTGAACTATGACTGTGCCACTGCACTCCAGTTGGGGCAACAGAGCGAGACTCCATCTCTTAAAAAATAATCATATCAGCAAACAGGGATAATTCAGCTTCCTCTTTTCCAATTTGGATGTCTTTTATTTTTTTTCTCTTGCCTGATTGCTCTGGCTAGGACGTCCCGTACTATGTTGAATAGGATGATGAAAGTGGGCATCCTTGTCTTGTTCCATTTCTTACAAGAAATCTTTCCAACTTTTCTTCATTCAGTGTGATGTTGGCTGTGGGTTTGTCATATATGGATGGCCTTTATTATTTTGAGGCATGTTTCTTCTATGCCTAGTTTGTTGAGGGTTTTTATCATGAAGGGATGCTGAATTTTATCAAATGCATTTTTTGTGTCTTTTGAAATGATCATATGGTTTTTGTCCTTAATTCTGTTTATGTGATGTATTACATTTATTGATTTGTGTATACTGAACCATTCTTGCACCCCTGAGATAGAAACCTGCGTCATGGTATATTATCTTTGATGTGCTTTTAGAGTTGATTTGCAAGTATCTTGTGGAGGAATTTTGTGTCTGTGTTCATAAGGGAATAAAAGAATGAACAAAGCCTTCAGGACATTTGGGACTTATGTAAAGTGACTAAGCTTATGAATTATTGGTATTCCCAAGGGGAAGAAAGATTTAAAGTTTAGAAAACCTAGCCAACAAAGTAATTGATGAAAACTTTCCAAGCCTACCAGGAGATTTAGACGTCCAGATACAGAAGGCCTAGCAGTCTTCGGGAGAATACATTGCAGAAAGGACTTCATCGTGACATATTATAATCAGACTGTCTAAAGTCAAAATGAAAGAGAGAATTCTAAAATCAGCAAGAGAATAGTGTCTAGTCATTTATAAAGAAAATCCCGTCAGACTAACAGCAGACTTTTTAGCAGAAACCTTACAGGCCAAAAGAGAATGGGATGGCATAATCAAAGTGCTGAAAGGAAAAAACAAAAAAACCCTGAAAGCCAAAAAGTACTTTATTGGCTGAAAGCTGGGATTAGAGAGGTGGTAAAAGATACTCATACAAACAAACCACAAGTGAGCAGGAGTAGCTATACTTTTACAGGTAAAACAGACTTCAAATCAAAAACAGGTTTAAAAAATACAGAGAAAATCATTATGTAATGATGAACGGATCAATTCAGCAAGAGGATATAACAATTCTAAATATATATGCACCCAACACCACTAAGTATATATGCACCCAACACCAGAGCATCCAGATTCCAAAGTATTACTAGACCTAAAGGAAGAAATACATAGCAATACAATAATAGTGGGGTGCTTTAACACCCCAGTCTCAGCATTAGATCATCGAGAAAGAAAATACAAAGAAACATCAGACTTAAGTTGAACTTTAGACTAAGTGGACCTTACAGACATTTATAGAATATTCTACTCAACAAACTGCAGAATATACATTCTTCTCATCATCACATAGAACTACCTATCTCCCAGATAGACCATATGGTAGGTCACAACAAGTCCCAACAAATTTTAAAAAATCAAAATCATACCAAGTATATCTCCTCAGACCACAGTGGAATAAAATAAGAAATCAGTACTAAGAGGAACTTTACAAATGATGCAAATACATCGTTTTGCATTAATGTATTGCAAAATCAAACAACATACACCTGAACGATGACGTGCTCTTGAGCAATCATTGAGTCACTGAAGAAATTAAAATAGAAATTCAAAACATTTTAGAAACAATTGAAAATGGAAACAAATCATACTAAAACCCATGAGATACAGGAAAAGCAGTGCTGAGAGGGAACTTCATAGCATTAAATGTCTACATCAAAAAAGGAGAAAGATAACTAATCAGCAACCTAACGTTGCACTTCAGGGAACTAGAAAAGTAAGAACAAACCAAGCCCAAAATTAGCAGAAGACAAGAAATAACAAAGATTAGAGCAGAACTAAATGAAATAGAGATCAAAAAACAATACAAAGGGTCAACAAAATGCAAAGTTGGTTCTTCAAAATGATAAGATTGATAGCCGGTAGCTAGACTAAGGAAGAATAGTGAAGATCCAAATAGACAAAAAAAGAAATGAAAAGGAGACATAACAACTGATACCACAAAGACTGTTACAAACAACTATATACCTACAAACTGGAAAACCTAGAGGGAAAATGGATAAATTCCTGGAAACATACAACTCCCCAAGGTTGAACCAGGATGAAACAGAAAATCTGAACAGACCAATAATGAGTAGTATGGTTAAATTGGTAATAAAAAAATCTCCAGGCCGGGCGCAGTGGCTCATGCCTGCAATCCCAGCATTTTGGGAGGCTGAGGTGGGAGGATCACGAAGTCAGGAGTTCAAGACCAGCCTGAGCAATATGGTGAAACCCTGTCTCTACTAAATATACAAAAGTTACCCAGGTGTGGTGGCATGCATCTGTAGTCCCTGCTACCCGGGAGGCTGAGGCAGGAGAATTGCTTAAAGCCAGGAGGTGGAGGTTGCAGTGAGCCTAGACAGTGCCACTGCACTCCAGCGTGGGTGACAGAGCGAGACTCTGTCTCAAAAAAAAAAAAAAAAGAAAAATCTCCAAAGAACAAAAAGCCCAGAACCAGATGGATTCACAGCTGAATTCTGCCAAATGTACAAAAAAGAGCTAATACTCATTCTCCTGAAATTGTTTCCAAAAATCAAGGAGGGAAGAGGGAATTCTCCTTAATTCATTCTGTGACACCAGTATCACGTGATACCAAAACCATACAGGGACACGCTGAGAAAAGAAGGCTACGTTCCTATGTGTGTGTCTCTTTTTTTTTTTTTTTTTGGAAACACAGTTTCACTCTGTCGCCCAAGCCGGAGTGCAGTGGCACAGTCTCAGGTCACTGCCAACCTCTGCCTCCTGGGTTCAAGCAATTCTCTTGCCTCAGCCTCTTGAGTAGCTGGGATTACAGGTATGCACCACCACACCTGCTTTTGTATTTTTAGTAGAGACGGGGTTTCACCATGTAGGCCAGGCTGGTCTTGAACTCCTGACCTCAAGTGATCTGCCTGCCTTGGCCTCCCAAAGTGCTGGAATTACAGGTGTGACCCACTGTGCCCGACCCTATTCTTTATTTCTTAAATTTTTTTCTTTTTCTTTTTCTTTTTTTTTTTTTTGACCAAGTTTCACTCTTGTTGCCCAGGCTGGCGTACAATGGCACGATCTCTGCTCACTGCAACCTCTGCCTCCCGGGTTCAAGCGATTCTCCTGCCTTAGCCTCCCGAGTAGCTGGGATTACAGGCGCTTGCCACCATGCCTGGCTAATTTTTGTATATTTAGTAGAGACAGGGTTTCACCATGTTGACCAGGCTGGTCTTGAACTTCTGACCTCAGGTGATCCACCTGCCTTGGTCTCCCAAAGTGCTGGGGTTACAGGCATGAGCCACCATGCCCGGCCACTATTTCTTAATGTTGAAAGGTGCTTGTCCAGTGAGAATGCAAAATTATGTCATCCTAAGTAATTTTGATTTCATTTTTTCATGAAGTAATATTCTCTCCTGGCTAATTTTATTTTTTGTTAGCCAGTTTTGACAGTGTTGTCAACAGGGTAGTCTCTAGGTTCAAGTTACAACCTAATCTTTTGTTGTTGTTGTTGGTATACCAATGAATTTATTTACTTGATAAATTCATTTTATTTTGAATTACCTTCATGTTCTTCCTATCTCTAGGGACTATATCTTTTATAGATATTTAACTTATTTCTCTCATGGCTTTGTTTGACTCTGGTCACAATGCTAGGGTCATGCCAATGACATCCTCTTTTTATTACCCATAGTGCCTGGTACTGTGTTTACTTATAGGTCTTGAAATCTTACGTTTATTTTAGGTTTTCAGCTTGCTTTTATCTCTCAGGGTCTGTATGGTGACTTGTAAATTCTCAGGGAAAGCTCAGCTTCTATACGGTTATGGTAGCACATGTAACTTTCTTGGTATGATACTTGGGGAGAGTTCAGGTAGTCTCCTATTTGTGAAAGAGGAGATTATATTAGAGTAGTTATGGCAGACCAGTTTTCTGCAAAAAACAGTGGAGAATGGTATTTAGAAACCAACATGTGGAATTTAGGTGTGCTTATTGCTGTTGGATGTTGCTTCTCCCGTATCCTCTTATTGGACATAAAGTAGTCATTCAACACCACAGAGTTTATTCTAGTTATATCCTGTTTCTTTTTTGTACCTGCTTTCTCTGATAGAAACCTGGCTCCAGTTATACTTAATATATTTACTTGATCAGCTTCTCTGTCTATAATTAGTCTTCCTTTGCTGCCACCCCTCTCATCTCACTCCATTTGGGCTCTGGTTCTTTCGGGCTGTCTACTCTGGGCCATCTCAGCACTCCCACCAAATCCAGTGCCAGAGTTTACCTAGTTTGGCTCCAGCCATTGGCTTTAGAACTGAATTGTTTAGGGCAGCAAGGGGAGGCAGAAGGGAAGTGATGAAGTGGTCATTATTGAATGTGCACTTTTCAAATGTGGTTTGGATTAATAAAAATATTCACCATGTTTGTTTTGGAGTAGGAAGATGGCCTTGGAAATGAGTTTTTTCTCATTGTTACTTAATGGTATAAAAGAAGTTACCAAGTAAAATATCTGGGTAATATCTACAAGATATTTTACAGAGAAATAATGTATAGATCTGTTGATTCCCCCCCCCACACACTCTCAAATCTGTAAATAACAAGTATAAAAAGTCTTGATTTTTCAGGGCTAGATGACAGCTCTCTTGAACTTAACTGACTGATCTCTTCCTAGAGTGATATTCATCCTTCTACCATTCTTGTTTTTTCATGTGATGTTTTTACATATTTCATTTTTGGTAGTATACTGTATCAGATTCTGGAGTTTGTGCTGTGACTGATATCTGTGAAGGACTTAGTACTGTTCTTGACTCTTCTTGTTTTTCTGAGAACTTAGGAAATTAAAAATACTAGGGGTTTTACTTCTAACTCTCTACTTTTTGTGCAGATTTCTTTTTTACCTTTAGAGAAGGCAGTGTTATGATTAAATTGAACAGGATATTTGTATTTTCTGGGTCATAAATATTTTTCTGTGATACATTTCTCTATCAGGTGGGCAAAAAAAAGCTTTTGTTAGCCCTTTGTTCATATCACTCAGATCTTTCTGTCATAGCACTCAATAGAAATACAGTATGCCCTCACTTAATATCCTCAGTAGGTTCTTTAGGAAACAGAAATGACATACACGGCAGGTCCTTGAATAACACTTATTTTTTGGAGACAGTGTCTCACTCTGTCATCCAGGCTACAGTGCAGTGTCACCATTATGGCTTACTGCAGTGCAGCCTCAACCTCCTGGGCTCAGGCGATCCTCCTGTCCCAACCTCCTGAGTAGCTGGTACCACAAGCATGTGCTACCACATCTGGCCAACTTTTTTTTTTTTTCTAGATGAGGTACCACTATGTTGCCCAGGCTGGTTTCAAACTCCTGGGCTTGAGCAGTCCTCCCACCTTGGCCTCCCAAAGTACTAGAATTACAGTCATGAGCCACCAGGCCTGGCTGAAAAACGTTTCTTAATAATGTTGATTGGGGGGAAAAAATGATTGCATTATACATTGTTTTGCTTAAAGTCATAGTTTCCGAGAACCTGCTGAAGTTGTTAAGTAGAGGACTTACTGTGTGGTCTCCATGTTGGTAGATTGTAAGCCACTTGAGGGGTATGAGAAAGAAGAGAAGGTTTCTCATTCTTTTATTCCTGTGCATGGCATCTAATAGGGGCTAGCTCAATATTCAACATATGATTAGTAGATGAATTATTTGGAAAATTAGGCCATATATAAGGTCTATTTGTTTGATCTTTGACATTTGCATCTTCAAAATAATTTGTTATGTGTTTCCTATTAATATGTAGAGCAAGTAGGTATTAAAAGAATCTATTGCTGGGCACAGTGGCTCACACCTGTGATCTTAGCACTTTGGGAGTCTTGAGGTAGGTGGGTTGCTTGAATCCAGGAGTTTAAGACAAGCCTGGGCAAAATGGTGGAACCCCATCTCTACTAAGAATACAAAAATTAGCCAGGCGTGGTGGTGTGCACCTGTAGTCCCAGCTACTGGGGAGGCTGAGGCCAGAGGATTGCTTGAGCCAGGTCACGGGGGTTGCGGTGAGCTGAGACTGCATCACTGCACTCCAGCCTGGGCGACAGAGTGAAACTCTGTCTCAAAAAAAAGAATCTGTTGAACTTGTTTCTGATCTAAAATGTTCTGATTTGGTTAGTGGTTTTCTCCTTTTCTGACAGGCAGTTTTTCACAGTTTATTGGTTATTCCTGCCCGAAGTCAGAACTTTGACATCTTGCAAAGTGCCATCAGTAAGCATTTGGTAAGTATCCTTAAACTTTTTCTCTTAAGAATGAACACAGGATGCATTGGTTAGAATAGAGTTTTCCACAGCCCCAGAAAGAGCATGTCTGGAATTCTAAGATTAATGATATCATAGTCTCTTGCAGCATGATGCATTGGCAAGAACTGAGGAATCTTGGTATTTTTCCTGGCTGTTATTAATTTACTTCTGAGTGACCTTGGGAAAAGTCTCTTCTTAGGACCTCACTTTTCTAAATCAGTGAAATAAGGGACCTGAAAATTAAACTTCACATCCTTTCCAACTTCTGTAATTCACGTGTGCTTGGCCTCATTGTATTGAGAATTCAACATCTAGACTGAAGTCTGGGTTCCACCTAGAAGGTTTGGGGTCCAAAGTAGGCACATCATCTAACCCGGCACAAGGTGTGGTCACTGGCAGCTGTAGACTCAACCCTGAGACTGACCTGTTATTTGATATTGGATGTCTCATTTCCATTGGTATTAAATTCACATTAGATATACCTCTGTAGTTGCTTTTAACTTTCTCCAGTGTTTATACTCTTATCTTTGGCTTTTTATTGTAATGTGTTATAGTACAAAGCAGGGCTCCCAAATTATATCTTTGAGAAACACACTTGTTTGGATAAAATATAGGCACATCCAGACTCCTTTTTCTCTTAAAATGTTACTTCCCTTGAGTTGGAAGAGAGTACTGCTTTGAATTCCTAGTACTTTCTCCCTGCTGTCAAACTTCCAGTCCTTATCCCTGTGCCATCAACAATGCCCACTTTTTTTTCCCTACCTCCACTCCAGAGAATTAGACTCTCCGTTGACTACATTCATTATTCTAGTAAAAGATCAATATGCCAGTCAGTCTTGGCCACTATTTTCACACAGCCTGTGGAGGAGGTTAAGACATCAGAGTTTGCAGACTTTGTAAAATCATTACCCAACAGTAGTCTCCAGGAGATTGAAACCATGTATATATACAGTTACAAGTTAGACTCTACCTTAATGACAATGCATACAGTACATTCTAGATGAATTAGCAAACTCTAATGACCCTTCCTGGGTTTCCTGGCAGTGAAACAGTCAAATGTTAACTATAGTAATATCTTTTACTGACTCCAGTAGAGGTATGTTTATTCATGTCTGAATGACTAAATCAAAGTGCAGAGGAAGGCTAATTTTGAAATGAACTATTTATACATTTAATTACCTGGCATATGAGTGGTGCCACATGCAAGTTTTCCAGCCTGAATAATTTAAAAATTTTTAAGTATGATTGTTGGTATTCAGATTTTCTTTGAGTGCATGAAATAATCCCTTTAAATAGTTATTTCTAACCAGCAGTAGACATTTTATAGAACATTTAGAAGATTCTGTCATGAAGGGGAGGCAGTGGATTGGGTTAATAGCACTTCTTGTGTTTGCATGTTTTCAAAGTCATATAATTTAGGGATTAAATTCTCAAAGGAAAACAGGACCTTAAGGTGTGGCAGGTGGCATATGTTAGGTATATATTGGTTTTCAGTAGAAATAATGTAAAGTTAATCGTGAATTAACAGGTTTTGGTTTTATGTGGAGGAGCGGGTCTGTTATGAAGAGGTGATTAATCTCGTTTTTCTCTGCTTAGGTTGGGTTGACTGTAATTCCTGACAGCACGGCTGGCTGTGTTTTTGGTGTTATCTGTAAGCTCCTGGATCATACTTGTGTAGTTAGTGAGACTCTACTGCCATTTCTGGCTTCTTGTTGCTACAGTCTTCTTTATTTTCTGCTCACTATAGAGAAAGGGGAAGCAGAACATCTAAGAAAGAGGTAATTATTTTTTATTCTTCAACCTTAATTTTCCTACTGTTCCTCCTCCCCCAACCAAATAATAAAATAGACAGTTAAAGATAATTAGGTTATACAGATACCTTAAATTCTGTTTCAGAGAGTTTGTGTCAGCCTAGCTAGCTTTTTCTTTGTTCCTTCATGAATCCCCTTTGTGTTGTAGTGAAAATTTTTAGTTTTTTGTTCTTTCCCCTTTAAGTTACAAATTTGAAAACTTAGATGGCATTATAAAATTTCTTGAGAGGTTTCTTTTATTAACATTGCTATAAGTCTAGCAAGAAAAATAAATCTACCGTTAGGAGGATGGGCTATTAGTACCAACCTTTGTATTTTGTTTTGAGCTTCATTAGAGCTAGCCAGAGTGGGAATTTTAAAATCTTGGATTTAAGGAAATTCTTCTAAGATGCTAGTGCTTTTAATTAGTACTTTTGCTCGTATATAAAATATTCAGGCTAGAGCTTTTAGCGTAGTTGGGAAGATTTTACTTTAATTTTAAAAAGTATTTTATGCTTGTGTTCTTATTTGTGTGCCCATTAAAAGTTCATTGTAGAAGGTTTTAAAACCTGCTAACAGGTTGGCAAATATTCTGTCACCTGCTGTTAATGTTTTGATATGTGCCTTTTTGGTCTTTTTTGAACTTTTAAATGACATGAAAATACATATACTGAATGTATAAAAAAACATTTATGTAGTTTAAAAGGTAATTATAAACTGAACCTCCATTTAACCAACCCCAGGTTCGGATATAGAATATCATCAGCACATATACTGTTAATGTACCCTGCACAGTTAAATGTCTTCTACGTACCCCTCTGCCCCAGATCACTTGGTGTTGATCAACTTCATTACCTTAAAAAAAAAAATGGTTTTATGTGCATTTGTGAACAGTATCAGGTTTGTTTTGCATATTTGTGGATTTTTTGTAATGGGAATTATACTGCATGTATTTTTTGTGATTTGATTCTCTCAGCATTGCTTTTGAGATTGATTGAAGTTGACTCATTCAGCTGTATTTCATTCGTTTTTATTTCTCCATACCAGGGTTCAGCAAAGTTCTTTCTATAAAGGGTTAGTTAGTAAATATTTTAGGTTTTGCAGACCATTAGGTCTCTGTCATGGCTACTCAGCACTACCACGGTAGTGTGAAAGCATCAATAGATAATATGTAAATAAATGAGTATAATTGTGTTCCAGTAAAACTATTTACAAATACTTACCATGGGCTGGATTTGGCCTGTGGCCATAGTTTGCTCAGTCTGCTCTATAGTATTCTGTTACATGCATGTACCATAACTTAGCCATTTTATTGTCAGCATTCAAATTTTTTCCAGTAAGAGTATGTGCATAGAAAAAAATTGTGTATTTCACTTTAAATATACTATAAAATTTATGCATAACATAAATTCGACGATAGTTTTCTTATACATCATCAAACATTAGGTCTGACAGGTCAAGAAAAGGCTTTATAAGTAGCAAGGAACTTCTCAGGGTTCTAGAGATTTTATAAGATCCCCACTTAATGAAATGTGTGTGTATTGCTATTTGTTATTTCCTGTCACTTGAAGTATGGCCCCTAAAACAACTTCATGCAAAGTTTCAAAGATCTATTGTAGTTTCTTATAGAGAAACATCCTTTGACTTCATGTGGCTGGAATGAACAAAATTAAGTGTGTGTAATACTTGTTTGCCTGTTTAAAATGCCCAGTTGTAGGGGTATTCTATACTGGGTACTGGAAAGGTTAACATTACTAGGATATTAGGCACAGTTGGCAGCCGAAGTCTTAGGTACCTAAAATTCCCATTTGGGCTATTTCTTCCCCACTGGAGAAGGTGTTTATAAGATTACAAAATGATGAAAATGCTAATCAAATTACTGGGGAGCCTTTGATTTCACAAGTGCTGGCCAGAAAGTTAGGTTTGACCGAGTTGAGTTGTTTAGTACTGTCTGCTGTGCCTTGAAGATACTGTTCTATTGTCTCCTTGCCTCAGTGTTAACTAATGAAAAAATCTGCTGTTAGTCTGAGCCCTCTTAGTTTGTAGGTAGTAATCTTACAGGTAGTAATCTATATTTTTACTGTTCTCTCTTTATCTTCAGTGTGTTGCAGATCAGGATGTGTCCTAGTGTAGATTTGTTATTTATCCTGCCCTAGACATAGTGTGCTTCTGTAATGTGAAGATTCAGTTTTTTTTCTTCAAGTCTGGAAAGTTATTATTAATTTTTAACCATCTTCCCCCATTGTTTCTATTTTCTTCTAAAAACTCCTTTTAAACATAGGGAGCTTTTTATTCTGTCTTCGTCTCTTAAAAATCTTTCAATTTGCTAATTCTTTTACTTAATCCTCCTACTGAGATTTTATTTCATCAACTTTTGTTTTCTTTTGGATTTGTTTCTATTTTGGATTTTTATTTGGTATTTTGTCATTTTCGCGTGTTCTTGGTTTATTGGTGTTTCTTTAAAGTTCTTGTTAGTTCCATTAGCTCCTTTTTCCTGCGGTGTCGGCATTCTCCCTTATTTTAGGGAGCAAGTTGAACAGACTTGTATATTTTGGGCTGCATACCTTTTCCCTAAGTGTGTCTTTTGTGGGAGTTCTGTGGAGGTTTATAGAGACTTCCCTGTAGGATAGTTTGACATTTGCATTTTCCTGGCTTCCCATTCTGTGCAAGGAGCATAGTTCAAACTCCCTGCCTTCCATACCTGGGTTCTGAAGCCTCAGCTTCCAGTACTGTTGACTGTTGAAAATCCTTGCCCTAAAATCCCACATACAGTTTTTATGACTGTTGGATATCTTTATATGAATTTCATTATAGTTTCTTTCACCTAGAGGTTTTACCCATCTGGCCTTGAGCTTGGCTGTCTTTTTTTTTTAAGGTCTGTGGTTATTTGAAATCCACTCAAATTAAGAAAAGTAGAAAATGAAAATATTTGATTATTACAGGAGTAACTTGTAAAACCCAAGGGCTAGGAATTAGAAATTTAGCAAGAGACAAAGCAGCTTACTCTACGTTTCTTCTAGTTTGTGTAGTCTGTATCTCCGTGCCTTTGCATTAGCTATGTCTGCAGTCTGGCTTTCTCTTTTCTCCTTGCACGTGACTGTCCCAGCTGGGCTCTGCATAAGAGTATCTATTTGGCCTAGAATGGATTCATTATTCACCATAGATGGAATTACCATATGTGCAGTCAGGGAAATTGGTTATATAGTGAAGGGGCTGCTCCCTCTAGACCTGGAGGTAGTCAGGTTCTCTTAGAAAGATTTAGGAACTAGGAAGATTATACACTCCTGGTAAAGAAGCTGCAAAAAGGTCAGAGCCTTTCATAGTCAGTGGACTCTAGGTCTATGTGAATATTGCACCATCTAATTAACACTTGGAGAATGTGGTTAGGCTAGCTGCAAGGTCACCTGTCTCTACCATAAACATTTTGCTCCATAAAGATACCGAGAGAATGATGTTCTTGATTTGGCTCTTAGCCTAAATGTTAGTGAAAAACACCATGTTTATTGAAATGTGGATAGTTTCTCTTGTTCTTAAGTTTAATTAGGGCCCACTTGTCATTTTTTGTTTTTGCAATTGCTTTTGAGGACTTAGTAATGAATTCTTAATCTATCTTGAGTTAATTTTTTTTTTTGAGACGGAGTCTCATTCTTTTGCCAGGCTGGAATGCAGTGGTGTGATCTCGGCTCACTACAACCTCCACCTCCCGGATTCAAGCAATTCTCCTGCCTCAGCCTCCCGAGTAGCTGGGACTGCAGGCGCGTGCCACCATGCCTGGCTAATTTTGTATCTGTAGTAGAGACGGGGTTTCTCCATGTTGGCCAGGATGGTCTTGATTTCTTGACTTCGTGATCCACCTGCCTCAGCCTCCCAAAGTGCTGGGATTACAGGCGTGAGCCACCGCGCCTGGCCGAGTTAATTTTTTGTATATGATGAAAGATAGGGATCCATTTTTATTCTTCTACAAAAGGATAGCCAATTGTCCCAGCACCATTTATTGAATAGGGAATCCTTGCCCTGTTGCTTGTTTTTGTCACCTTAGTTGAAGATGAGATAGTTGTAGGTATGTGGCTTTATTTCTGGGTTCTCTTTTCTGTTCCATTGGTTTATCTGTCTGTTGTTCTCTATCATTACCATGCTGTTTTGGCTACTGTAGCCTTGTAGTGTACTGTGAAGTCAGGTTGTTTTTGCTTAGGATTGCTTTGGCCATTCTGGCTTTTTTGGTTCCATGTGAATTTTAGAATATTTTTTTTTAATTGTGTGAAGAATGATGTTGGTAGTTTGATAGGAATACAGTTGAATCTGTAGGTTGCTTTGAGCAGTGTGGCCATTTTAACAATACTGATTATTCCAATTCATGAGCATGGAATGTTTTTCCATTTATCTGTGTCATCTGTGATTTCTCTCAGCAGTGTTCTGTAGTTTTTCTTGTAGAGATCTTTCACCTCCTTGGTTAGATGTATTCCTAGGTATTTAGTGTGTGTGTGTGGCTATTGTAAGTGAGATTGCGTTCTTGATTTGGCTCTCAGTTTAAATGTTATTGGAAAACATGTTCCTTAAAAGGACATTTCACTTTGGGGGAATATAGAAGGGGGGCTTTTCCTGTGGGCATTTGCTCACTGACTCATTTCTGTCTCTGTTATTGTAGGGACAAGCTGTGGGGGGTCTGTGTCTCCATCCTGGCTCTCTTGCCTCGAGTCCTCAGGTTGATGCTGCAGAGCCTGCGGGTGAACAGAGTTGGGCCTGAGGAGCTGCCTGTTGTGGGCCAGCTGCTTCGACTGCTGCTTCAGCATGCACCCCTCAGGACTCATATGTTGACCAATGCGATCTTGGTGCAGCAGATCATCAAGAATATCACGGTAAGAAGCATGGTACCGGAGGCTTTGCAGTATTAGCATAAGAATGAATTTATGACGGGGGCATGGGGGAAAGTGTGTTTTGAGGGAGGAAAGGGATCCCATACATTGAGTCCAGGAATTAATCCCAATATGGTAGTTTCTCAGGGTCTCCCGTGCTGTCCAGCACCTGACTGTGACTTAATGGGGGGGGGGGTGTGTCTGTGATTCCAGAATTAGTAATAAAAGTCTTAAAATAATCAAACTCAATGAAGGTGACAAAGCTTAGTTTAGTTTGAAAAGGTAAGGGCATCAGAGTCATTCCTACCTAGACTGTGATACAGACTCTATTAATGAACTGTGACAGCTTGGCAAGTTTTTTTCTTTCTTTCTTACCTATCCAAGCTTGTTTTCCTATCTGTAAAAATGGGAATAATGCCAACTTTATTGTGTTTTGGTGATCATTAAAGGAGATAACCCAAGTAAAGTTTTTAGTATACCTGACATTTGTTAAGTGCTCCATAAATGTTGTCATTAAGGAAATTATTTAGCAGGAATAAACTTCAGGCCAATTTCTAGTCACTTAGTTCACTCTAAAGTAAGAAAATCAGAAGTTGCAGACTTCAGCTTTGTCTAATGGTTGGCTCTCTGCCTTCAGCTGTGTCTGTTTGGCCGGGACAGCTCTGTTGTTTAGGATTCCTTTGGTGATTTTAGTTTGGGGGGGGGGCGGTTAAAAAAGTGTCTTGTATAGTTTGATTGGCAGATTATCCCTTGAGATTCGTAGTGATACTTTGAAGTAATAGTGCTTTTACATGCATATAACACAGGTGCTCATTAGTATTTTTTCAGTAGCCTTTGTAGGGGTAATGGAAGTGGCAGTGGAATAATTCAGAAATAGTGAAGGGAAGAAAATCAAGAGCTTGGATTATTCCCAGACTGGGGAATCAGCCCATCTTTGTAAAGAAGAGATTGACAGAAATTGTTGGTTGGCCCTGTAGAGTTATTCTCAGTTGGCACTGGGGTAAAGATCATGAGACACTAGAATGGCAAGAGGGAGAGGCAAGGGTGAAGGGATGGTTGGTGGTGAAATTTCATTAGTCTCTAGCATGTGCAGGAGGGAACAGACTTAACAAGAAACCATTAGCATTTGAGGATATAACTAGGAATTTTCACTGCCTGTGGTAATGCCCAATTAATAGTTCCCTGTTTCCTGGAAGACTTCCTATGGTAATTTACAGATGGGGATACAGTTGCCAAAGCTCTGGGAAATTGTGTTTGGGTGTGAAAAATACTGTCAGGTAGCATAGTGATTTGGGTGCAGTTCTCAGATTACTCTTGTTTTTCTCTCCAGACATTGAAGAGTGGAAGTGTTCAGGAACAGTGGCTCACAGACTTACATTACTGCTTCAACGTGTATATCACTGGGCATCCCCAAGGGCCCAGTGCACTGGCTACAGTGTATTGAAGAGGCCATAGTACCTCCTGTTTGAAGTTGTTTATTCACATCTATCTTATTTGAAGAAAAAGACTGATGTAATAGATCTTTGTCATTAAAGCTGAACTTTTAAAGAAGTTTACGAACCTTCTTTCTTTGCACTGATATATGAAAATAATGTTTGGGCGTTCCTATTGATGTGTAGGCTGGCTTCCCGGACTAGCACACGATACATGGTCATAGGCGGTTGTGCATTGTGCATTTCATAGGAGCTAAATATTTACAAAATAGAGAGTGATACTGTGGTACCTTCTGTTATATACCAAGAAACTGGCTAAATCTTTGTAATTCCATCCAGGCAGACCTCCTTCTTTGTGTTTTTGTGATCACAAAAACGATGAATGTAATAATTAGTAAACTAAAAACCAAGGTAATTAAGTGAACACTTCATTGCCTATCTGTCTATCTCTTACCGTTAGCACAGAAGTGGCACTGATCTGAAGAAAATGAAAGCAACCCCCAAAATACCTGTGAGTAAAATATATCACTGTTTATGCCTACTGTCAATATTCTCACAGCAGCTTTCCCCTTAAACAATGTGAAAGAGCCCATCATCACTGGATTTTATTTAAACCAGGTGTTCTTAGAATGCTAGGATGTGTGCCGTTTCATTCTTCCCTGCCAACAGAAATGGCATTTTAAGAAGATTGCTCACTTCTGCAAGTTGGTCAGAAAATACAAGTAGAACGTTGACGCCTGAGTTAGCACCTTGCTGCATGAACAGTCTGGTCTGTAAACCCTACCTGACAGAATCCTTGATACTGTAATACGGCTGTTGGTATTCAGCACTGAGAAAGCCATTCAGTGAAGACGTGGCGGCAACTTGTGGCCTTGAGAGGCTAACGTAGGAACTGTAAAATGTAAGGAATCACCAGAATGTATCTATGGTCTTTTGGACAATTTCTAAATGAAAACAGTGGGCAATGATTCTGATCTAAAATTTAAACCTGATTAATTTTGAAGTAATAGTGGGACGTGATATGTGTGTGTGTGTGTGTGTGTGTGTGTGTGTGTGTGTGTGATAAGTTTGTTGCATTAGATGCCAGGAAAGTAGTGAGAGGAAGGCTGCTATGGGACAGGCTTCCTATCTCATTTAGGTTCATCTCTTGAAACAAGAAGCCAGTACCAGCTAGCTGGCAGAAATCCCAACCCAGCAGCCGTAGTTTTCCTTAGATTTTGCTGTTAATTATGAATTCTCATTTCCAACTGTACAGACTGAGGTGAAAGCAGACACTCAGGCACTTTGCACAGACATAGTCTATGCAGGTCCTTTCAGTGCAGGCTGTGTTGATTGACAAAACAATGCTGTGTAAGAGCAGAAAGGAAACATTCTGACATTTTCTTTCAGTTAACACATTTTTAGGTGAATCAGCCTTCAGGTACGGATATTAAAGTTTTCCCAAGGTGTAAAAGATTATCAGCAGAAAATCTGAACTCTGCACTAGCTATGCCAGCTCCCCCGAACACAGTCTTCCTCCATAGGCAGTCAAGGTTTTGTTTTGTTTTTTGGCTGAGTAGCTGATTGCAGGTTATAAGAAAAGTTCTTTGATCTTCCACTGTTCTCAAGGAGATGTATACACTGTAGGTTGCTCACTGTTAAAAACAAATACCAGATAGATATTAAGGTTATTAATTTTAAGGCTGAAGGGAATAGTTCATTGGTGTTGAGGAAGAAGGATTTCGGTTTAGGCTATCCCTGGGATGATGGGCCAGTTTACTGTAGAGGCAGGATGACTTAATATAATAGCTTTATATTTCCTGCAGTCTCAAGATATGGGACATCTCTTCAAGGGAGACTTGATTAAGAGAGAGCAGGCACTTGGGGAGCTGGTACCAGAACCTCGGTCTTCAGTCTGCCTGAAATAACAAATAGATTCTCTCTCTGGGTCTCTCACATAACACATTACATAAACAGGTAACACATCTTTTAACTCTCCTATTACACTTTGAATAGTTGTTCTAGAAAATAGGTTTGTTAGAAAATATTCAGATCCTCATGAATGATAAGCTGATGGGAATATCAAAATGGATTTTTGAGGCCTTTTTATGACTTTGAATTAACAAATGTATAGGATGCCACAGTCAGAAAACATTAGTGATATACTTTGACAAATGATACTGAGGCCCCATATGAGAAACCTTGCTGAAGACATTGCTATATTTTGCTTCTAACTTTTTATGGAGCATATAAGCAAATACATTAAAGGTTTAGTAGTTTTTAAAAGTAACAAACATATGTCTCAATTTTTCTCTCTTGGTTTTATAACTTCCACAAAATTATTTTAATGTGAACTATTGTTTTTGGCTGTCTTCACTGTATCTTGAATGGAGTTGTCATCTGTGTACCCCTCTGCAGGTGAGCAAGAATAAACTGGATTTGTACAGGGGGTACCAATACTAATAATCACAGTTATTCCATTCACTGGAATGGAACTTTAAAGGGAGTTCTTTTCTTTTATTGTTAAAGAGATAGGCCCAGGTGTGTGTGTGTGTGTGTGTGTGTGTGTGTGTGTGTGTGTGTGTGTCAATAAAAGGCTCTGCTGAGATTCTTGGTGGGTGGTTTGCAAGGCTGTGTGTGTGTGTGTGTGTGTGTGTGTGTGTGTGTTGTGTGTCAATAAAAGGCTCTGCTGAGATTCTTGGTGGGTGGTTTGCAAGGCTGGGTGTAGAAGACTGACATGAGCAGGGATTGATTTGCTGCCTCCCAAATACATGTGGAGAAACAGCCCAAGGAGGCTGGCATTTTGCTATATCCACCTTTCTGCTTCTTCCTTTTTAAGTGGTAAAGGCACTACTAAAACCTCGGGGGTGGGGGGTTCTCCAAGTTGGAGGGTGAGAGCAATAATATTCATTAACTGGTTAATGCTTAATGTGGGTGGGCTTGAGCCTAACAAAACTGTGTGTTCTCCTAAATTTGGGGTTAGGAAAAGATCATTTTATCCTTGTCTGATTTTAAACCAGTCAAAAATATGTGTAGGACAAGTAAGTTGCTTGTTCATATGAAGTCCTAAGAAATCATTAAGTATTGATTTGAATTTATTTACTCTGTCCCTTCTGAGTCTCTTAACTAAAAAACTTATATGCTGCTAAACACCATTTTAAAAGATTTCTGGTAGTCTTGGATTTGTTTTTCTCTTAAGACTGAAAAATGATCCAGTTATCTAATTTATGCTAGTATTTGATTGTCTAAATGCCACTTCTCTGGTAGTGATATCTGACAATTCTGTTTTTGAAATGATTCTTTAATTTGCTCAGGTATAATGAAAGGGGTTTTTTTGTTTGTTTGTTTTTAAACAGACTGTAGGCCTTGATTGCTTTGAAAGTTTCTAACTACCCCACCCACCACTCCCTGATCAGCCTGTCTGTATTACATGAGTTGTCCAACACTTATTAAAGATTTGGCAGTAATTACTCTGTCCCCCACCTCCAGGTTTTTGCCCCCCATCAAAAAACTAAATGAATATTAAAGTTCATGCTGACAGTCATTGTTCACCTTCCCAGCTGCACTCTGTTCCTCCAGGATGACTGTGTGGATCGAGGAGGCAGGGGGGAGCGTGTTGCCATAGCCACCTATGAGAAACACTGGACCTGGCATTAGCTGCTGACAGCAATGAACTTATCACCCATATTTAATGCTGGTGTGAATGAGGGGGCCCTAAGTAAAACACTCTTGTCTTGGTGGCTGAAAAGAAAGTTCCCTGAGCTTCTCCTGTATGAGGGAAAGCACGCACAGCTGAGCCTGGGCTGTACATGCTCTCAGTGTTCTCTTCATGGTGTTCTTCCCATCTTGGAGAAGGAAATAGGGGATCATAGTGTGACACCAAAATGGAACAAGGATTCCCAAGGTATTCCTTTGAAGAGTGACAGTATTTTCATTTATTTCCTTTGTGTGAAAAAATGTGTAAAAGTGATCAATAATAGCTACCATTTATTTCTGTTGGAGTTAATGTTAACAATAATAGCTTTTAGTTGTGAAAATAATTTGCCTCTTAGGGAGACAGATGTTGGCTACAGTAATAATCCCATGAAATCAAATGACCATTGGAAAACCCTGGCCATATCTGTTCTAATGTCTTCTGTCTTTGGGGATGAAACAAAGGAAAATGCTTCCCCATGTTCTTCCCCACCATCTGCTTTGCAGTGGCTGCCTTACCTGAGTTGAGACGCAGCACAGAAGAGGCTTTTACAGATCTTGTAGGATGATGTATTTTCCCTTCGTGAGAACAACCTGAAATGAACCAACAACTGTTACTTTTCTTTGGCCAGGGATACGTTTGGCCTGACCAACTTCTGAATTCCTTATTGTGGTAAAGGCTTGAGCTTGCAGGTGTGTGTCAAGATAAGTTAGGTATGGTGTGGAAACATGTAGGCCCAGGGTAAAGTCCTGAGATTTTGCTAAATGAATGTTAAAGTTCATGCTGTAGGAGATCTTTCTAAAGGTGCTCTTGCTTATCTTTTTTTCTCTTGAGCCAGCAAGGCTTCTTGAACTCTACTGGGTCTATTTGGATGGGCTCTTTGCAGAGCTGAAAATGTTTCAATTTACAGCAGTTAATCTGCTGAACAAATATTTACTATAGTGCATGGGTGTTGAGCATTCTCATAGTGGGCAACCCTATAACATCTCAGCATAGGAAAAGTCAAAGTGATACAGGCAGAGTCTAGCTAAGTCGTGAATGCTCCAAATGGGTAATGCAAGGAGGAGACTCAAGCAGGGGTCTGGAGAGGTTTAAACAGTAAAGCTTGAGGGCACTCTGGGCTGAGATGCTAGAATGCCTCACGAAACCAAACAATTATGACCCAGTATCGCTGGGAGGCAGGAATGAAATGGTGCTTGAGAAATATTAGGTTGGTGCAAAATTAATTGCAGTTTTGACCATTTTTAATAATACAATTAATTTTGCACCAACCTAATTTATCTGAATGGAAGTTTACCCAATGTAATTAAATTCTACTTCAGATTCTGATGTGGTACTCTGGGGGTACTTGTGAACTACAAAGTAGGCAGAAGGACAGTTACCATAGATTTGCTTAAGCACTGAGTGCTTGGTGGACTTTGTGCCTGAGGTGCCCTTGGATGGACTCTTGGGGGCCTTGCTTACTGCAGTGGTTTGGGGGAATTTTAGTTCCAGTTCCTTCCTCCAAACCTGGAGGAGCAATGCTGTAGACTCTTGCCTCCATCTGTCCACATCTCCAGCTCCAAGCTGCTTCATATGCCGAAGGTGGGACAGGTGCTTCCTGAGCTGGTAGCTGGTTGGGTCAGAGGAGAGGAGAGGCTTTAAGATCACAGTACTGAGAAAACTAAATTTCCTTAAGGTTTCTAGAAGCTATAGGAGTAGTATTTGCTGAATTCCTGGTAGGTTCATTCAAGCTCCCATTCCTAATTTTGGCGGCAGCATGTTGAATGTGGAATTCTTTTTCCATTATCAAACACCTCCTGAACTAGGATTCAATCATGATTCCTTGCCTTCAAGGAGCTCACAGACTAGTGGAACAGGCTGCTGTGTAAAGAGGTACGTGTGGCATGAGAGTACTGTGCAAGAGCAAGGAGCTGGTTGTGCAAACAGATGCAGGACTGACTGATGGTTTGGTAAGGTTTCACAAGGTTAATATTTGTGCTGGATTTTAAAAGATGAATAGGAGCTTACCAGGCAGAGAAGGGCATTCTACGTAGCAGAACTGGCATCAGCAGAGATAGATAGAGGCATTTGTGCCAGAAAGTCAGTAACACAATGTGGAAGCACTGTGTCTTTGGTGACGAAAGGGGGCTTTAGAGTGGTAAAGGTATGAGCTGCATCTTACTAAGATAAGTCTGTTGGAGGTGGGTTTAGAGTGGGTGAGGAATGGGGATGATGGCTATATTTACATCTAGGATTTATTTGATGTTTTCAGTCCCACATGCACTCCCAAACTTACTGAGCACAACAACTATTTTGAGGCCTCCAAAGGAAAGCTGCAGCAATGTTTATTATCTGTATCTGTCTTTATTCCTAGTGAGCCTATAGGTAGCTGCAGAGAGCAACAGGCTTCATGTCTGATTTTACAGTGATCCCATTTGGGCTGCACCAAATGGGAAGTAATCTTTTTCCTAAGTCTGCTAAAAGCTCCTTGCAGCGCTTGGTGCAGCCCCTCCCTCCTTCCCCAAAGGCTGATTTCAGTCAGCCTACACTACTCTTCCTTCTGTCCTGGAGGGTAACACCATGGCATCCCTCTACTAGAATACGTACCACATTTCCAAAAAGCCAAGTCTAGAGAAAAGTATGGCACTACCGCGCTATAATTCAGTTTCTCCTGTTTGAAATGCTGTCTTCCATACCTTCTGCTCTTGTGGGCACAGAACTTGGGGGGAAGCCCAGGTAGTGGCTGAAGCTGTTAATGGTGTCAGCCCTCAGTGGGCCCAGCAGCACCTTTCCTGCTCAGCTTGTCCAGGATCCTGTTTCAATCTTTAAAATAGTCATCTTACTTGGTTATTAAACTGACAATTTTAAGATCAAGTTTCATTTTCTCAGGACCCAAGGTTCATTTTGCCCACTTCTTCCCTGCCTGTTTTCCAGCTCCTTTTCTCCATCCTCCACCTGTCCCCTATAACCACAGCCTGCACTGAACACTTAGTGTCCAGCCCTGACCCCTGCCCCAGCCCTCACTGCTTAGGTTTGCTATCAGATACACTTGCAGGACAGCGCTTCAGGCTCCTGTATTTACAATAGAAAATGTAGTTAAAATATAATAGAATCAATAAAAGTGTGTTTACTGTCACCAGACTTGGCTTTCTGCAATGTGCAACAATCCCAGAAGTCCTTTGGGCCTCAGAATTGCACAATGGCACATCCAGAGGGGGCCTGTGTAGTTACCTACGCAGGTGGGCATGTTAGACCATAAGCCCACTGTTCTTGGGGGAATGACTGAAGGCTCATTTGCTACTCTGGTCACTTACTGACAGGACCTGTCAGCTTCTGACTCTTCAAAGGAGTCAGACAGTCGGAGAAGGAGACATTTCAGGTAGGGAGCAGCTGTGGGGTCTGGCGTGGTAAACCTTGCTGGCTTGTTTAGATCCTAGATTTTAGCCAGAATACTTAAAAAGTTCATCTGGATGGTAGCCAGTGCATGTCCCACAGAGTGCAATGGCCATTTCCACCTGTGGCTTTCGAGGCCGACTGTCTTGGCTCAAAGCCAGCCCTGGCACTTGCTCTGTAATGTTGGTGAGTTGATGAACCTCTCTGTGCTTCAGTTTCCTCATCTGTGTAACGGGGATAAGAACAATACCTACCTTGCAGGGTTATCAGTGACGATTACATGCACAGGTAAAACTAGTTTGAACAGTGGCACAAGTGTCCAATAAATAATACTAGTATGTTAACAATTGGTAGTAGTAACATCACCCTTCTCCTGGTTACCCTGATGTGTGTGACACCAACCAGGCAGCCTTCTCCAGCCTATTTTCAGGCAAAGTGCATGGGGCCCACCTCCACCTCCCTTAGCTTGACCACAGCAAAAACTAACTTCACTAATAATGTAAGGGAAAGGCCCTTGGATTTGAGTCAGCCAGAGGTTCAAGTGCTGGATCTGCACCAAAAGGACAAGTCAGTTTTTCCTCTCGTCTGAAAAATGGGGATACTGCTCCCTGTCATGATGGCTTCCTGGTGTGGTTGGGAGTTCACATGGGGTCAGGCATGAGAGGACTTTGTTAATGGCCAAGAGCTGAAACAGACATAGGGAGAACACATTGCAAAGCCTGTGCAAGCACAAACCAGATCACCCGGCTCTGGGTTAGGCAGTCTCTGGTATGATATGAACGGAGGCCTCTCCCTGGACCTCCTGGGAATCTATCTAGTTTTCTCCCTGCCAATGTTAAGGAGAGAACGTCTTCCTTTTTCTCCTGACGGGAACCTCGATATCTCATACACCTGTGCCGCATTATTTCCTTGCCTTGTCTCCCTCCCCATCCGTCTTCCTCTCCCCAGTGATGGCGGCGACATAACTTCCACCTATTTCTTTTCTTGAGACAGGGTCTCACTCTGTCGCCCAGGCTGGAGTTCTGTGGCATGGTGATGGCTCACTGTGGCCTTGACCTCCTGGGCTCAAGCGATCCTCCTGCCTCAGCCTCACAAATAGCTAGGACTACAGGCATGTGCCACCATGCGTAGGTAATTGTTGTACTTTTTGTAGAGACGGAGTTTGGCCGTGTTTCCTGGGGTGGTCTCGTCTCATAACCCTGGGTTCAAGTGATCCTCCCTCCTCGGCCTCCCAAAGTGCTGGGGTTACAGGTGTAAGCCACTCTGCCCGGCCAACTCCCACCTATTGGTGATGGGTCCAGCTTCTCTCTGGACATTCATCACTGTAAGGCCTAATTTAGATTTAGGCTCTAGTGAGGCTTTCAGGATGAAAGAGATTATGAGACGTGAACATTTGTAGCAATAAGACCCCTCAAGTCCTCCCATAATCATCCCCTAGCGGCATTTGTCTCTACTATATTGGGAGTCTGTTTCAGGCTTTTAGGACAGCCTTCACCCCCACTCCCAGTGCCTACTATGTATTTTGAGCTTGGTAGATGCTCAGACAGGTTTACATAATACAGTTTAGTCACTCAATCTGTTATATCCAGACCCTGGTTTAGGTGTTTGGAGTATGACTAGTTCCTGGGTAGTAAAGACATAAGAATAAAAATAAAGTATCTCCTATGTGTAGTAATTTAGAATTAATGAAGCGTGCATTATCTCATTCCAGCAACCTGTCATATTAACAGGACATGTGCAACAATTATTAAATCCTGTTTTACAGATGAAGAAGCAGAGGGTCAGGGGGGCCATGTGATTTGCCCAAAGTCACATAACCTGTTAGAGCTTACCTGAACCTCACATTTCATGGTTACAAACCCAGGGCTTTTTCCTTTACCCCATGCTGTCCTGAGCACTTTCCCATCTTTCTAGGCAAAAACATCTTCCAAATGGTTTATACAATGTAAATTACTAGGATCTGGTGTGAATTTCATGGGTAGGCTCTATAAAATTGGCCTTACCATGCCACCACATGGAACTCACTGGGAAAACATCAAAGAGCACAGATGTCATGTTGAGAATATCAGTAACAAAGAACCACAGATGCGGCAGCACCCCATTTTCCTACCTTCGCCAGGCGCGCTGGATGACTGCTGCTGCCTTGTTCTTTTTGCGAAACAGCTCCTTCCTCCTTCGTTCTCTCTGAATTATCTGCAGTCGGAGCTCTACGGGGAGAAGGTCAATATTCACACTCTGCCCAGAGAGGGGACCAGGTGCTGGATCAGTCTCCTTAGATACCTGAAAGTCCTCGGACAGGGTAGATGTCTCCAGCCTCCTAGCTCCTGACCTCAACTCCTCTGTGCTCTGTGGCAAATGTGAATAGAGCCCTCCTGTGAGCTTGGCTTGTGTCACTTTGTTTCTTGGTGTACGATGGTGGGGAGGATTCTGCCCAGCATGGACCGCCTCCCCCCGGGCACTGCCAGGGCGGCTAGAACCAGCCGGAGAGCACCTTCCTCCTCTGAGCTCTTGAGTGCGCCTTTTCTGGGGGGCACATTTGGCCTTGGGTTCTGTGTCATGCCGCCTGCTGGGCTTCCAGTGGCTATCGTGCGGTGGAAGGCTTGCAGCTGCCCGCCTGGAGTCCTCTCCTTTCTCATCAGGCCCAGCCACCCTGATACAGGAGGGCTGCTTCACGAAGCCTTTCCCCTTTGCACACCGCTCATCGCCAGCTGTCTCACCTCTGGACTTCTCAACAGAGGGAACTCCTGGATGCCTGCTTCCATCACTGCCTTCATTGGGTCTGAAGTGGACACAAGCAGATTGGCCTTTAGAATGTTCTCTGGCTGTTTCTTGAGGAAACAAAGAAAAAATATTGTCCAAAACTTGCAGAGTAGGATAATTTTCCTAATATGTTCACATAAAATATTCAGACTTAGCCTATATCATCACCATAATAGTGGCAGTTACAGACTAGGAAAAAAACGGTTTAACTTCTATTTCCAGCAATATGGTAGGTTAGATAACCTGAAGCCCTTCTCGCCTTAACGAAAATATAGTGGATATCCTTTGGAAAGCACTGTCATGCCTTTAAGAAAATAAAGGAACTCTGGAGGCCAAAAACAAAGAGAAAATTGAAAATCAAAGCAATTAAGTATGTGAGCTGATCCAGTGACTGTCTAGGCAGGTAATGGTGGTGGAGTGGGCAACAGATGGTCTTATTAAATATCTGGCTGTGCTTTAACATCTACATAAGAACAGAAAATGAGTCCTTGCAGGAAGAAAGTTAACTGGAACCAAGACTCTACATGAAGCCAGCACTCTTGAAGGGATATACCTTTTGGAAATAATCCAGATTTTAAAATCTGCTCTCCAGCACTTAGAGATGACAAGGAAGTTTGTTTCAGCCCAGGTTCTGGATGGGGTAAGGAGTCTCCCATAAGAATTTAAAACCAAAGTCGTCTTCCTTACATGGGCTTGGTATTCATTTATTCTCAATCCATAGGAGATATTACTATAAAAACTGGTCTTAGGATGGAGATATCCCAGGATGCCTCACAGAAGCAAACACAATATTGCTTTAGTGTGACATGCCCTCAACTCAGGCTGCACAACGGAGTCCTCTGAAAATGACTTCACAATCCAAAATCACAAAATGCATGAGGAAACAATGTACCATAAGCAACAGTTAACACAATAGCAAGATCAGATCTCTCAAAACGTTAGCACACACACGTTGATTAAACACACAAAAGAAGTTTAAAATACGAGAAAAGGATAGATTTGAAAAACAAATACAACATCTAAACTGAAAAATATGCCAGGCACGGTGGCTCATGCCTGTAATCCCAGCACTTTGGGAGGCCGAGGCAGGAATCATGAGGTCAGGAGTTTGAGACCAGCCTGACCACCATGGTGAAATCTCGTCTCTACTAAAAATACGAAAATTAGCTGGGCATGGTGGCGCACGCGTGTAGTCCCAGCTACTTGGGAGGCTGAGGCAGGAGAATCGCTTGAACTCGGGAGGCAGAGGTTGCAGTGAGCTGAGACTGCACCACTGCACTCCAGCCTGGGTGACAGCGAGACTCCGTCTGAAAAAAAAAAAATTCTTAATAAAACAGGCACATAGATTATCCAGATAATGTGTTTTCAGAAACAGACTTTAAAATAACTGTTCTGGCTGGGTGCAGTGGGCCCAGCACCTTGGGAGGCTGAGGCAAGAGGATTGCTTGAGCCAAGTCTGAGACAAGCCGGGACAACATAGTGAGACCCCATTTCTAAAAATAAAACAAAAAAACAATTATCCAGACATGGTAGTGCATGCCTGTAGTCCCAGCTACTCAGAAGGCTGAGGTGAAAGGTCGCTTGAGGCTGGGAGGTTGAGGGTGCAGTGAGCTGTTTGTGCCACTGCACTCCAGCCTGAGCAACAGAGTGAGACTATGTCTCAATAATGTAAAATAAAATACTCTTAAGTGCAAAAGAGCTATCTAAACTATACTACTCTTCATGTAAGAAAGAAAGGGATGGGCTGGGTGTGATGGCTCACGCCTGTAATCCCAGCACTTTGGGAGGCCGAGGTGGGCAGATCACCTGAGGTCGGGAGTTCGAGACCAGCCTGACCGATGTGGAGAAACCCTGTCTCTACTAAAAATACAAAAAAATTAGCTGGACATGGTGGTGCATGCCTGTAATCCCAGCTACTCCGGAGGCTGAGGCAGGAGAATCACTTGAACCTGGGAGGCAGAGGTTGCGGTGAGCCAAGATTGCGCCACTGCACTCCAGCCTAGGCGACAAGAGCGAAACTCTGTCTCAAAGAAAGAAAGAAAGGGATATAAGAAAATATACCTATATCTGCTCATTTGTGAAAAAGAAATATAGAAAACATAAAGCAAAAACTAAAGAAATTGATTACCTGCAGGAGTTGAGTGGGAAAGAGGTGGAAAGAAAAGAGAAATGGGAGCTGGATAGTAGAGATGAAGAGGGAGTGAGAGACACTTCTCTGGCTCCACCTTTTTGTATAGCTCTGACTCTTAGAGCTGTTACAATGTTTCACATATATGCAACCCCCACCCCACCGGGCCAAAAAAAAAACTAAAACTACAAGATACCACTACACACCTATTAGAATGGCAAAAATCCAAAACAGTGACCAAATGCTGGTGGGGATGTGGAGCAATAAGAACTTTCATTCATTGCTGGTAGGAATGCAAAATGGTACATCCACTTTGGAAGACAGTTTGGCAGTTTCTTACAAAACTAAACATATTCTTACATAAGATCCAGCAATCACACTCCTTTATATTTACTCAAATAAGTTGAAAACTTATGTCCATACAAGCTGCACAGGGATGTTATAGTAGCTTTATTCATAACGGCCAAAACATGGAAGCAACCAAGATGTTTCTTCAGTAGGTGAATGGATAAACTGGGTGACATGCAGTTTCTGCCTTCTCTCAAGAGTACTGCTCTGAGAACAATATATGTAAGGAAGATAGTCTAACCTACTGGAGAACAAAAGGCCATATAAAGGAGAATAGAGACAGCCAACAGCCACCACCAATTGCCAGATATATGAAGGCGGCCATCTTGGCCACATCTTGTGCAAATTCTATCAACCTCATGAATGAGCCCAGGTGATCGAGAAGAGGAACTGCCCAGGTAGCCCATGGGACTGTGAGAAATAATAAACTTCTGTTGTTTTAAGCCACTTAGTTTTGGGAGTGTTTTATTATGCCACAAGAGATAACCAACACAGATATTTATATCTATAAAAGAGAGGTACTGTCTTAAAATACAAAACCCAGGGTATTGACTTTGGACTGGTTGGTGAGCAGAAGCTGGGAAGGCAATGAAGAGACTGCTGGTGAAGGCTCGAAGAGCAGAAAAGAAATTGCTGTTGGAATCTAGAGAGAAGTGAACCTTGTTATTCAGTGGCAGAATTAACTGGCAAAATTGTCACTTGCAGTAACATAGAAGATAGAAAATATACCTAATGGAGCTGTAGATACAGTTCAGGAAGTTTCCAGGTGGAATGTAGAACAAAATGTCAACTGCTTTTTAAGCTACATATGACAAAGTATGGGGAGAAAACAAATAAAATGAAGGAAAAACTGCTCCGTTTGTAAGCAAAATTTAGAGATAATGTAAAGATCCCGGGATGTGCTGGGTTAGAAAATAAAACTATTTTAACATTTTTATTCTTTCCAACCAGCAAAAGAGTCTCATAGGCCTCAGCATAAAGATCAAATCAGGGCGGACACAATAACTAACACTTATAAAATCCCAGCCCTTTGGGAGGCCAAGGCAGGTGGTTTGCTTGAGTCCAGGAGTTTGAGACCAGCCTGGGCAACATGATGAAATCTCATCTCTACAAAAAAGAAATGCAAAAAATTAGCCAGGCATGGTAGCGCACACCTATGGTCCTAGCCACCCGGGAGGCTGAGATGGGGGGATCACTTGAACCTGGGAGGCAGAGGTTGCAGTGAGCTGTGCTTGAACCACTGCACTCCAGCCTGGGTGACAGGGTGAGACCCTGTCTTAAAAAAAAAAAAAAGTATGGTTGTACAACCCTTTATTAAGACTCAAAAATATTTGAGGTGGTACATAATAGGCCCTCTCAGCTCGACAAAAAAATTTCTAAGAATCTCAAGGGCATTTTCCCACAGAAATCTAAGCCACTCAAATTAGAGCAAAGCTTGTTTGAAAAATAATGGATGTGGCTTTTGAAATATGAAATGAATCCAATCAGATTCGCAGGAAACCCATGAAGTTTTTGAGATAATCGCATTATTGAGAGTACCACAAGCTTGAACTGGTGACATAGTTCAAATCAAAAAGAAGCCTCTGGGGCCCCAGTATCCTATAGTCAGGAGATAGGCTGAGAAAGCTACTCAGCTGCAAACATGGGCATTTCTTAGGAAAAGGAAGGACTTCTCAGAGAGCAGAGCCAAGAATTCAGGTAGCAGAGCCAAGAGACATGGAGAACAATGGAATAGGAAGCCACCAGGAGTAATATGAGACCCTAATCAAGGAATATTTACCTCAGAGTAGGGGCCCTGGTAAAATGTGACCAGCTGGTTTTCAGAATTGCTACGGACTAATGGCTGCTATACGCCTCCTATTCCACCCTCTTTTGTCTACTGTGGTTATTCTGTTCCTGTCTTACCACTGTTTGTTGGGTGTGGGGGGTGTTGATAATGTATCTTTTTGGCTCATTGGTCTCTGAATCAGAAAGAGTCCCAGCTGGTGAACCTGAACCACATCTAGTTCATGTCTTAAAATCCTAGACTTCAAGTGTGATGAGATAATCAGGATGAGATTTTGGGGTACTGAGATAGGGATGTATTAGTCCGTTCCTACACTGCTATAAAGAACTACCTGAGACTGGGTAATTTATAAAGAAAAGAGGTTTAATCGACTCACAGTTCCACAGGCCTAACAGGAAGCACAACTGGGAGGCCTCAGGAAACCTACAATCATGGTGGAAGGCAAAGGGGAAGCAAGCACCTTCTTCACATGGTAGCAGGAGAGAGCATGAGCGAGCGGGGAAGTGCCACACACATTTAAACCATGAGATCTTGTAAGAACTCACTATCATGATCCAATTACCTCCCACCAAGTCCCTCCCCGAACACTGGGAATTTGGGTGGGGACACAGAGCCAATCCATATCAAGGGGTAAGAATATCTTGCATGTGGGAGGAATGTGAATAATCTGTGACCAAATAGGAACTATGACAGATTGTTTAATAGCCAAAAATTCCTCCCATCTTAGTATGCACAAAGGTGGAATCTATTTCTCGACATCATTTGGTCTGGGATGGTCTCGTAACTTGCTTTGATCAATATAATGTGTGCAAATTCTAGAGTCTATTTCTCAAGAGGTCTTGTGGCTTTTATCTTCGCTTTCTGAAAATGCTGTCCTGAGACCACAATGTAAGGAAGCCAGTCTAGTCTACTGGAGGATGAAAACCACGTAAACCAGAGTCAAGGAATCCCATCTGATAGCCAGCATCAATTGCTAGACATTTAAGTGACTATATCTTAGACATGGAATTCCACTGACTCTCCACCTGAATGCAGACACATGAGTGAGACCAGATGAAGCCCGTAAACAAACTTCCCAACCAAAATAGAATCATAAAAATTAAATTGTCATTGTTCAAAGTCACTTTGTTTTTGTGTGGTTTGTTATACAGCAGTAGATAATGGAAGCAACCCTACTCTTACAGATCTTGCAGTTTGGTGGAAAAAATGACAAGTAAACCAGTAATAACAGTAAAAAGTGATGATCTTTATAAGAGGGAAGTATAGGAGAAGTATGGAAGCAATAGCAGGAAACTATAGCCTCCTTTAGCGGGGAGATATTGGTTGAACAGAAGAAGAAACATTATCCCTGATATCTAAAAAATAAGGTAGAGGGAGTGGCATCTGCAAAGGCCCCAAGCTAAGAAAGAACTCAAGGAAGTTCAACATGGCTGTCACATTATGGGAGCTTAATTAAAGCTGGTTGGATGAATAAATGAATGAATATGTACCAAAGCATCATGAGTATATAATCCTTAAGGATTACACTGTAAAGTGGATTATGGAATTATATTCCAGAAATGTTTATATTCATTTTAGATATATATATTTTTTGAGACAGAGTCTCACTGTCACCCAGGCTGGAGTGCAGTGACGCAATCTCGGTTCACTGCAACTTCCGCCTCTCAAGTTCAAGCAATTCTTGTGATTCAGCCTCCTGAGTTGCATGCACCACGATGCCTGGCTAATTTGTATATTTTTAGTAGAGATGGAGTTTCGCCAAGTTGGCCAGGCTGGTCTTGAACTCCTGGCCTCAAGTAATCCACCTGCCCCAGCCTCCCAAAGTGTTGGGATTATAGGTGTGAGTCACTGCACCCGGCCTGTAGTCATTTTATGTATACTTTTCTGTAGTTGTTCTTGGCTAGATTAATGAGTGGCTCAATAATAATAGTTACTGAAAACCTATGATGAGTTATGGGCTATAACAAGTACACTACATGAATTATTTCTATCCATAGCTACCTTGTGGTGTAGAAAGTATACCCTCACTTTATAGCTAAGGAAGTTAAGGTTCAAAGAAACAGATTGAACTGTCCAAGCCCTGAATTCAGTAATCATGAAGTTCCAGAGCCCCTTTCTGAGAAAGTCCATAAGGTCAGGGCTATTTTCATAATAATACGAAGACATTATTTGCCTTTTTCACTGTGTTGGCATTTGCACTTAGATTTTGGGAAAGCTCCTACCGTTCTCTAACTTATAAGAGTAGCTCAGTGTGTTTAAATTGCTTCGTGCAAACAATAGGGTTCGTGCTGCACACCTTTCCTTCTGGGAGTCTGGAATTTTGGCATATGCTAGGCAGAGGGTATCTATGTGACTGACTCCAGATAAAAATCCTGGAGTCCTAGGTTCATGTGAGCTTTCTTTGTCAACAAAAGATTGTCTGACTGGTTGTTACAATTTATTGCAGAAGGAATTAAACGTGTTGTGTGTGACTCCACTGGGAGAGAGCCGTTGGAAGCTCGTGCCTAATTTCCTCTGGACATTGCTCCATACACCTTTTCTCTTTGCTCATTTTGCTTTGTGTCCCTTTGTTATAATAAATCCTAACTGGGAGTACAACTATATGCTCAGTCAAACTAGTAAATCCTCCAACCTCACCAAACCTGGTGGTAGTCTTGGGGATGGGGATCATGGGGATCCCTGACACACAAGTAAACTCTAAATAGGATAAACTGCAAAAAGCCATGCCAAGACACATCATATTAAACTTCTGAAAGCTAATGATAAATTTTAAGATCTTGAAAGCAGCCAGAGAGAAATGACATATTACCTAGGACTGTTACTGAGAAACACCAATTTGAATGACAGTGGATTTCTCATCTGAAACCATGGAAGCCAAAAGGAAATGGCACAATATTTTTCAAGTGCTAAAAGAAAAGAACTGCCAACCCTGAATTCTATATCTGGCTTAATGATTCTTCAGGAATCAAATAAAAACATTCTCAGACAAAGGAAAACTGAAAGAATTTGTTGCTAGCAGACATACCCTTAAAGATTGGCCATAGAAAGCTCTTCATACAGAAAGGAAATGATACAAGAATCTTAGAGCATCAGGAAGGAAGAAGAAACAACAGAAGAGCAGAAATACAGGCGGGCGCATAAAATGTTATTTCCTTTGTGAGTTTTATAAATTGTATTTCATGATTGAAACAAAATTTATAACACCATCCGATACCTAAGCAATGAAACGTAAAAGTGGACAAAGTGAATGGAAGTGAGGTTTTCACACTTCACTCTAAAAAAGAAAAGAAAACAAAAAACCATAAATCAATCAAGATAGAATTTTTAAAAATGCTGAAGTAACCTACAGGAAGGGAAAAAAAAGAAAAAGAACTGAGAACCAGAGGAAACAAGTAGAACACAAATCATAAAGTGGCGGTCCTAGGTGCTAATATAACAATTATCTTAAGTGTAATTGGTCTAAATACACCAATCAAAAAAGCCCACAGTCCATGGGCCGGCAGAAGATGACAAAGGCAATACACCTACCATTTGGCCTTCTGGAGTTTGTTCCCTGCAAATCTGAGGAAACATGCTGCTCCTTCTGGAGGGCTCCGCCTAGAGACCCTCCTGGAGATCCTCTGCTGTCTCTTGGCTCAGGGCCTTGGGCCACGTTGCCAGCAGGAGGCTGCTTGCTGGGGGCCCGGCTCTGCCTGCTGGGCACATCCTGGGTGCTAGGCAGACAGGGAAGGGCCTGGGGTCTGCAGGAATCTGGGCTCCGCCTTCCTTTTTGCTGTTCTGCCTCTTTTCGTTTGTTTTCTTCCTCTCGCTTTCTGGAAGCAAAGCCAAAGAAGAAGATGAAAAAATTTAAAGAGTATCACCTCCTCAAGTCTCTGTGTGAGTTTAAATTTTAAGAGGAGCTACTACATCACAGGAGATATTTGGAAATTTGCATTTTCCAAGAGCAGTCTTTTCTCCAGATAAAATAAAAACCATCTCTTTTACACCAGGCCTTATAGCCCAAAAGATGATGGAGCAGAAAAGTTTATAGATCAGTCTTTGTGCTGTTGAGACACATGACAGATAACCAGGCAACTTTTCTGTGTGAAACATAACACACTCCCAACGGTGTATGTGCCCCAAGCTTATGTGTGATCCCTGGAGCTACCTGTAACTCCACCCATTTTTCTCCTGTTTCAGAAAGCACACCAGAATGCTACCGAGAATGACAGTCAAAGGGATAACCTTGAATCTGCTCTATTCATTTAAAAAAGCCCATCAAACCTTAATGATCATATAAAAAGTCACTTGCAAAGTACCTTGCCAGTGATTAAAACACACCTGTGAGTTGCAGATGCTGCCGTTGACAGCTCTAGCTAATGAGTCAGATCCACTCATTTTACAGATGAGACCCAGAAGGTAGGGTGATTTTCAAAAAGTCACACATAAGTAGCTGGTGGCAAAGCTGGAACCCTTGGGTAGCAGGAGAACAGAGAAGGGCTGGGGAGCAGGGGCCCGTCTAAAGATGAGTAGCTGGGCGAGGCAGGTGGGTCTGAGGTGGCTCAGAAAGGTAGCCCAGGCCCCTAACTCAAGACAAAGGGGCCGAGTTAGGGGCAGGATTTGTTTGACCATTGCTGTTAACTTGTAGGGATTCCCAAGGGAAAGACAGGAGGAAAAACACTTAATTTCTGAGTCTCTCTCTGCTGGGCACTGAAGATACAGAAATGACAACCACAGATTTCAGGTCCTCTCCTGAGGAATCTTCTACCCAGAAGGGGACAGCCAGGAAAACAAAGACCTAATATATGATAGAAGAAATGTTATATTTTGTATTTATTTATCTTTTTAAAGACACGGTCTTTTACCTAGGCTAGAGTGCACTGTGCAGTGGTACCTTCTTAGCTCACCGCAGCCTTGAACTCCCAGGCTCAAGCGATCCTCCCACCTCAGCCTCCCGAGTAGCATGCCCCACCACACCTGGATAATTTTTAAATTTTTTGTAGAGATGGGGAGGGGGGGTCTCACTTTGTTGCCCAGGCTGGTTTTGAACTACTGGCCTCAAGCTATCCCCCAGCTTTAGCCTCCCAAAGGGTTGGGATTATAGGCGTGAGCCACCGCGCCCGGCTGAAAAGGACTTTAGTTCTGTGCTCCTCACACTTTATTGGGCTGAATCACCTGGTGTCTTGGTAATTATGGATTCCGACTTAGGCTAGAGAGAACTCAAGATTCTGCATTTCTAGCAAGCACCCAGGTGATCCAGGTGTTGCTGGCCCTCTGGCCACACCTTGAGTAGCCAGGCTTAAGAGCACAGGAAAGTCTAATATGGACTGTTCACTATACCACTAGATGGAATGAAACATACAATATGAAATGTGATTCTCCACAATGACACCAATTTTTTGTAAGGCCCACCTTGCTCACACATGAGCATGCCTTCTTTATAGGCAACCTGACAAATTGCAGAGCTAAGGATCAGACACAGAAGCATGAGACAAGGCGGAGACCCTAAGCCTCCAAGCAGTCATAGAATCCAGACTGCTATGGACTACGGCATTTGAAGCAAAGCTTATTTAGATCTCAAGCGACAGGAAAGCCCCAGCTGACATACATCTGGGTTACATTTTGATTTACAACCTTGTCAACTTGTTAAATTCCCCTTCTGAAACTCTTTCTTCCTGTATGGAGTAGCCCCTGATCTGGGGTCCAAGCTTGCTTATATAATAGTTTTCTACTGAGTCCCATTACCGAGAACATGGCCAGATGGGTCGTGCTAACTCCTGTACAGCTCTAGTGTTTTTATTTGACTCTGGTTTTGTGACATCTTTGCCACCTGCTAATGACTGTGGTCTACAGGCCAGCCGGACAGCCTGTCATCTCGGAGCCTGAGATTCATACGGATGCAAGCAGGTGCCATTTCAGTGTGATCTCTCTGGGACAAGGCTGCTTTTCAGAAGAAGGTGGAAGCATCTGGGTGGCTGAAGTGCTGCTAATAGATTTAATAGCCTTGCTCCAGGAAGGCAGAGGAAGTGCTGAGCTTTTTATCAGCACCGATGAGCAGGGCTGTTTTAAGAGAATGATATTGGCTCTTTAGACAGACACATGTGGGTGGCTGTCTGGGTTGGCACCTATATGGATCTCACTGCCATTAAGGGGGACTCTGAGGTGATAAATTAGACTTTGTTATTTGAGCAGTCTCCTCTTTCTTTTTAGGAAACCCAACAGCTCTCTTGTTCAATTCCAAGAAGCCTCTCTGTAGCCAGCCCCGGGGCAAACCTTATCACTGCAAACCTTTCTGGGCCTTCAACAAAGGCAGCCACATGAGGAACAGGGGATCCAGCCTTTTAAAGTGATCAAGACATCCAGAAAGCAAGAGGGCTTTGGCTTCTGGAGATTGCTTTGGAGGGGGGATACCAGGGGGGTGATTTTTCATTTTGGTAGAACTACGTAAGCAGAATTAGGAGACAGAATGCAATCATCTGAATGAATAATTAGCCCCTGGTCTTACAAATATAATTAATGTTTTTTAAATTGATGCATTTTGCATTAAAAAAATCTTCTAGGTGGCACATGGCCCACAATTGTGAAGTTCTTCAGACCAGTGGTTCTTTGATGTAATAGCAGTGATCACTGAGAAAAAACGGAGTGGGATTAAAACTGGAAATTATGCATAACTTGTATCCTATTTTATCTATATTGCTGCCTTAAAACTAAAGCAGCAGCAGCAATAACAACAACACACACAATTCAGCTTCTGAGAGTTGAACGTGACCCCACATATATGTCTCTCCCTGGGGAAAAGGTCCAGAACCATTGCTCATAGTGTAAGAGTTTGAAGAAACCAGTTTATTGAGGGTGACACCCTCATTTGGTAGATAAGAAAACAGGCAGAGAGGTAAGTGACTTACCCAAGGCTGCATGGTAAACTACAGACAGAGCCAAGATAGAACGCAGCTGCTTTATCTCCTGGTAAAATTCATCCCCATGACAGAATTGTTTTTAAAAATTTCACCTAATCTTCTTCCATTATTTAAAAAATTAATTGGGTCATACAAAGAAGCTGGGGATGCCACTTCAAACTAACCATTAGCAGCATTTAAAAATGAGCTTTCTTTTTTATTTTTATTTTTAGAAACAGGGTCTCACTCTGTCACCTAGGCTGGAATGCAGTGGTGCAATCATAGCTCATTGTAACCTTGAACTTTTAGGCTAATTTTTAAAAAAAATTTTTGTAGAGACAAGGTCTCCCTATGTTGCCCAGGCTTGTCTTCAACTCCTGGCCTCAAGTGATCCTCCCACCTCAGCCTCTCAAAGGGCTGGGATTACAGGTGTGAGCCACCACACTCAGCCATAACTAGCTTTCGACGTAGTGTTTAGTCCTTAGCTCTTAGATTCAATAATTGTCCTGAAATTTAAATGTTTTTTTCTTAAGTTATGATGAAATGTCAAAGATCTTTAATCATTAAGGTGTGCTATGTTATAAAGATCTATTTTACTTGTAAAGTTTAGAAAAAAAATCAGAAAAAGATTATTCTAGTTGATATGAAAAATTAAAAAAAGTTCTATGACACAGCAAGCAACATTTCTGCAGGAAAATTATTAACATGGCAGAATATTAGTGGATAAACTAGTCCCACCTTTCACTCTCTTTTTTTTTTCCTACCTACTATGTGAAGAGAAATTGGCTAGATGACAGCTTCTAATGGGCTTCCAATTTAGTCTGGTTTGTACTGTCTCTTTTAGAGCAATTTTGCAGCTCTTCAGAGGCTTACAGGATAAGAAAGTGAGAAAGTCAACTGGGGATCAAATCTTTGACAACATCTATTTCAGGTCCTGTGCTCCACAGGGTGAAGAGGAGTTTCCAGACTATCAGCTGATGGGACTGGGGCTGTCTACCCAGGGAAGAAAAGATTTACAAGACACAACGCTGCTTCACATTGCTGGAGGGCTATTGTGGGGCAGAGATATTCCCCCAAAGCCCCCTAAAACCAAATCTAAGACCCACAGATAGAAATTTTTACAAATCACTAGCCTGGATGAAAATTTAGCAAGAAAAGGGCTAAAAAGAAGGTGAGTGATCAGAAATTTTAACAAATTTTAACAAAAGCTGATCAAGGGCAGTAACTTAAATGACTTGAACGTACGATGGTTTCAGCATCTCAGGAGTGGATGTATTTGTTTGCACAATATGGCAAACTCTCGACTCTGGCCCTGCACAGTTGGAGTTATGGAAGTTGATATTTTTTCTACCCCACTATGTGCCTTCTAAATACTGCGACCCACAAGAGAGTTCTATTTGCCCACTTTTGACACGAAGAAATTAATTCTATCAGACACTGCAGAACCAGGCAGGCTCTTTCCCATCCCATGAATATTCAGGTTTCCATTGCCATGAATACAACACCTAGTGAGGTCTGAGAGATGTGATTAAAATGCTTCCACAGAAAAGAGAAGTCTAGTTAGTGTGTCCTGTCATACTGATTTAACCCAGCTTTGCCTAAATGCTGCCATTCTAGTTAATTGTCCTGGTGTAGGCTAGGGACCAATCAATATTTGTAACTTTCTCAAGGATTTAGGAGAATATTGGTGTGCTCTGTTCTGTTAGTTTTGAGGGTAATAGGAAGAGCGTTATTGAATTATATTATAGAATTGATAATGGTGGCTTGGCACCACTCTCTTAACAACGAATGGGATCAACAGTGGCATAATTGAATGATACAGATGGTTATTCAATCAGATGGTTGCTAGCATCTGGGGACAGCCTCTAGTATGGGCTTGGCTGGTAGAAGGATTCCCTTGAACCAAGTAATGGTAGGTAGCTTGGCCTTGAGACTTAGATTCATGTGCCATCTCTCTTCCTTACTAGCTGTGTGACTTCAGGCAGGCTAACCTTTGTGTGCCCATCTCCACATTTATGAAATGAGATTAAGGACAGCTGTCATGTCTACTTTTTAATATTTATCTATATTTGTAATATCTAAAATCCACATTATTCAATCCGGCTTCCATTTCTTACGGGTATGTTTTTGGTTCCTAGAGACAAATTAACGTCAACTATTTGGCTAAACTTCCTTATATCTTCTAAGCAAGAAACGGTATTTACCTGCATTTGTTCTTCCCAATATTCTCTAAATCTGGCAGGGATAAGACTTGTAAACAGTTTGAGTCTAAGAAGTTTACAGAATCATGGTTTCATGTTCAAGTATGGACAGCGGTGAGCCCCTTTGCTCTTTCTTTTTAAAATCAGAACACAGACTGTTATAATCTGTCAAATGATAATTTTCTCATGACCAATATTCAGGGAGTTGGAAAACAAAATGAATATGTAAGTGTCAAAGAGCATTGTGAGGATGAGTGGTATATAATGTGTTTGCTGCCTTGAGCAAGGCAAACAAGTTAAAGTTCTACACTTACGGAGAGTCACGTATAAGAACTGAAAGAAACCTAAGAGAGTATTTGGTCTAACCCTTCCGTTTGACAGATGGGGAAACTAAGGCCTACAGTGATCAATGGCTTATGTAAGGTTTTAGACCCTTTGTAGGGGAATTTACTGAACATTTATTTATTGAATGCTTACTATATACCAAACATTCTAAGGTACTAGAGATGTGGAGGTACATAACACACAGTCCCTGTTCTCAAGAAACTGACAATCGAGTCAGGGAATCAGACCCATACACTCCTGCCAACAGTGAGTTCTAGATGTGATGAGTGCTAAAGGAGAAGTAACTATATAGGGCTATGGGAGGATGTGGGAGACACTCACTAATTAAACGGGGAGAAAAAGGCTGCATATGAAGAATGAGAGAGGAATAAACTGAGAGGTTATTTCAGGCAGAGGGAGAAGTATGCATGAGCAGAGACTCAGAAGAGATCTCAGAGACCAGCTCCTCACATAAATTTTTTTTTTTTTTTTTTTTTTTTGAGACAGGGTCTCTCTCTCTGTCTTCCAGGCTGGAGTGCAATAGTGTGATGTAGCTCACTGCAGCCTTAACCTCCCTGGCTCAAGTGATCTTCCCACCTCCCTAGTAGCTGGGACTACAGGTATAAGCCACTACACACTGGCTAGTTTTAAAATTTTTTTGTAGAGACGTGGTCTCACTATGTCTTGAACTGCTGGGCTGGTCTCAAACTCCTGGGCTCAAGCGATCCTCTTGCCTTGGCCTCCTAAAGTGCTGTGATTATAGGCATCTTCACATAATTTAAAAAATTCCTTATATACGATTGTGGAGAGATGATAATTCCACTTCTGTTGGATCATTTCCAGTGAGAGGAAAATATTACCTCATGAGACAAAAAAGATTTAGCTCTAACCTTTTCAGTTGGTGTTGCATGGTGTCTAGGGGTTTGTCAGATTTTTATCTCTTCATTGTCACTGAATAACAGGCATAGAAATAGTTGATCTTTAACTCCCTCTCAAGGGAATAAGAAAATGTCGTGTGTCTTAGGACCTTTGACTTACAGAATGTTAGAGCTGGGAGGGACGTTAGAGATCATTTAGTCCAGTGGTTTTTGTCTTTTTGTGTGTGACTCATGGACCCCCTTTGGAGAATGTGATAAAAAAAAATCTATAGATCCTCTCCCACGAAATGCATATGTGCTCCTGACACACAAAATGCTGTGTACAATTTCAGGTACCCATGGATCCCTGAAGCCCATCTTGAATTAAGAAAACCTCTTTCCATTTTACTGATGAAAATCTGAGGCTCAGAGAAGTGGAATGGCATGAAATAGAACTATGGAAGTAATTCCCCATGGGCCAGATGACTTTGTGAGCAGATGAGTCAGACACATGGGCCAACCATTAACAATCTGGTGATGTTCACGGGAGCATTGACTAATTACCAAGTGAAAAGGAGATGAGCAGTAGCAATGGAAGTGTTATGAGCAGTTTTTTAAAAATCTGAAAGTTGGTTTATGAAAAAGGATTTAGATTTTTCTCTTTGGCTTCCAGGGGTAGCTTCAAGACCAAAGGGTAGAAAAGAACTTTTGCTAGACAGAGCCCTCCACTAATGGAATATGCTATCTTGAGAGGTACAGGACTTCTTGCACTTGACTTTTTGGGGACACAGAACAATCTCTCGTAGAAGGGACTTAAGCATCACAAGAGTTTGAACTGGGTTACCAAAACTGGACGTGACGATGAAACTCTTAGAAACATAATCACATATACTAGCCAGGAAGGAGCTCAGGTCTCCCAGTAAGTGAAGTGAAGAAAGTTCAGGATGGCTGAGACATCAAGTGAGAGGGTGGTGGTAGTGGAGAGAAATGAGACTTAGAAATGTAAGTGGAAGTGAAAGAAATGTTGAAGGATCTTACAGAGCACCATGGCTGGTATTTAAGAATGAGGGGGCTGGGCGTGGTGGCTCATGCTTGTAATCCCAGCTCTTTGCGAGGCTGAGGTGGGTGGGTTGAGGTCAGGAGTTTGACACCAGCCTAGCCAACATGGTGAAACCCCATCTCTACTAAAAATACAAAAATTAGCTGGTCGTGGTGGCACACACCTGTAATCTCAGCTACTTGGGAGGCTAAGGCAGGAGAATGGCTTGAACCCAGGAGGTGGAGGTTGCAGTGAGCTGAGATCGAGCCACTGCACTCCAGCCTGGATGACAGAAAGACTCTGTCTCAAAAAAAAGAAGAACGAGGGTTTGTATAGAGTGGTGGTGGCACAGAAGAATGAAAGCAAAAGGCTATCAAAGGGGGAATGCATACAATCAATGGTAGCAGCACTAGCAAGCACATAAAAAGGCCAGAAGAGAGACAGACTGTGGTGATGGGCTGCTTGCATTTGCATGTCGGTGTGTTGCAGAGTCTGAAGTTATAGTGAAAACAGGACATGCAAATGGAAACGTCCAATGATCTAAAGTGTTGGCAAGTGACAAAAGCATAGCAGAAATGCCCAGTAGGCAACTGAAGATATGAGATTAGAGTTCCAGGAGGTCAGGATGTGAGACAGATTAGGGGGCTATCTACAGAGATGAATTAATTTAAAATTTAAGAGTAGATACATTTTCAATGGAAAAAAGTATAGCATGAGCAGAAGTCTAAAAAGTTTGCCTTCAAGGCTGACTGCAGTGTGGAGATGGAATAATTTAAAAGATGTGAGAAGGGAGAATCAGAGAGTTACAGGAGATCTGAGATTTGAGTGAAATAAGAACCTGGCAAAAAGGGAGCTTCAGGGAAGAAGGGTGATCAACATAAATATGGTTTTATTTTAGTGTACACTCAACCGTGTGCTTTGGCAGGTAAATTATAGTAATGTTCATTTTGGCAACAACATAGGCAGTGCAGTGTGAATTATAAAGTGCTTTCAAATTGATTATAGATATTCCTTAAATAGCATTTTCTAACATTACCTGTCTTAGTAAATATCGCTATAACTTTTTCTCTCCCGGTTTCTCTTTCAGTAAATTAGAAATCACTTTACTTAAGTTTAATAAGTGCCTTTCACATCCTCATTTTGAGGAAAATGATTTCTGCCATCCTAACATAATAAACTGGGAAAGGTACACCGAGGTGACATGCTGTGCCTGGGCCAGCTTAGTCAATGAGGCAGCAGCAGCAAGGACTGAGTTTAGCATCCTGATGTTTGTTTCTTCAAGCAAGAATTAAACGCAAAATTAAACACTGACTCAGATTTTAAGAAATAACTTTTGAGAAATAGAACAAATGAAATCAGTTTCTCCACCACTTAAGTATATCTCTTAGAGATCTACAGCCTCCCTTTAGGGGACATACAAAGTCAGTTGTGTTGCCTTTGTTGAGTCCCACCTTATATTCAAGTAGGTATGACTACAAATTTTGAAAATAGATTGTCACACAATAAACTGGAGTTTATGGAAACATCAGTAGAAGGAAATACAACATTCCATCCCTTTACAGAGATCATTTACTTGCAACTCAGGATAATTTGTCATGTGTATTATCTACTTATGCTTGCCACTCACATGCAGAGAACTTTTATAAGAAGGCTGGAAAAAGAGGGGTGTAGAGGCTTTATGTTGATACTGGATTCTTTGGCAAAAGTGAAAGGAAGAGGGCATCATTAAGAGAAGAGTACAACATAGTATTTCCTCGGATGCCATCTACTTCAGTAGCTTTAGAGTCACAGAAAATGGTATGTTTCTCTATTTACTGAAGGCTGACATGATGATTAGCATTCCAGTACATAGTGGTATTTAACTTCTCATTAAAATGACTTATCTTGCCTCTTATTATTACTTTTAATGATTATTTAGTACACTTATGCTTCCCCCTTGTGGGTAAGATGTAGGATTTAAGAGTTAGAAGGACTCAAGATTTAGAAACATTCGAGATACAGCCAGGAAGTTATCTTTCAAGAATCTGCCCAGGCTGGGCACAGTGGCTCATGCCTGTAGTCCCAGCATTTTGGGACGCCAAGGTGGGCAGATCACTTGAGGTCAGGAGTTCGAGACCAGCCTGGCCAACATGGCAAAACCTCATCTCTACTAAAAGTACAAAAATTAGCTGGGTGTGGTGGCACAAGCCTGTAATCTCAGCTACTTGGGAGGCTGAGTCATAAGAATCGCTTGAACCCGGGAGGTGGAGGCTGCAGTGAGTGGCGATCATGCCACTGTACTCCAGCCTGAGTGACAGCGAGAGACTGTCTCAAAAAAAAAGAATCTGCCTGTCCACATCTTTATCATCAGAGTTTTTGGTATCTGTATTTGCTAATGTGATGCACTGCTGCTATTTGAAATACTTCTACCCAACATATCTATCAAAGAAAAGGCAAACCTAAGTATAATCTAAAATCAATCTTTTTTTTTTCTTTTTTTAGACAGAGTCTGACTCTATTGCCCAGGCTGGAGTGCAGTGGTGCCATCTGGGCTCACTGCAACCTCTGCTTCCCAGGTTCAGACAATTCTCCTGCCTCAGCCTCCCGAGTAGCTGGCATAACAGGTGCTAACCACCACGCCCAGCTAATTTTTGTATTTTTAGTAGAGATGGTGTTTCACCATTTTGGCCAGTCTGGTCTTGAACTCCTGACCTCAAGTGATCCGCCTGCCTTGGCCTCCCAAAGTGCTGGGATTACAGGTGTGAGCCACCGCACCCAGCTTTAAAATCAATCATTTATGTGAAATAATCAGAATGTGCAAGAGGCACAGACAGCTATTTTGTATCATCGTCCAAAAAAAATGCGAAGTCCTTGAGGCAGGGGGGATTTTGCTTTTTTAGTTGCCATTTTCTCTCTGGGCTCTAGCCAAGCATTTTGTCTGTATAGTAAGAATTCAATCAATATTTCTTGAGTAAATTACTTTATTTAGTACAGATGTGTTAAGAAATGGGTGAAGGAAAGCTGGGTGCGGTGGCTTATGCCTGTAATCCCAGCACTTTGGGAGGATGAGGTGGGTGGATCATTTGAGGTCAGGAGTTCAAGACCAGCCTAGCCAACATGGTGAAACCCCATCTCTACTAAAAATACAAAAATTACCCGGGTGTGGTGGCGCGCGCCTGTAGTCCCAGCTACTCGGGAGGCCAAGGCAGGAGAATTGCTTGAACCTGGGAGGTGGAGGTTGCAGTGAGCCGAGGTTGTGCCACTGCATTCCAGCCTGGGCGGCAAGTGAGACTCCATCTCAGAAAAAAAAAAAAAAAAAAAAAAAAAAAGAACTGAGTGGAAAAAAAAACCAAGTTGTTTGCTTTAATCAAATTAAAACCAGACTTAGACTGGTCTAGTGAAAGTAGGCTAGATATTGGCATGTTTCTTTTGGAAAGAGAGGAAGGGTAAGAGGAGCAGTTATTTCTTTACAGCTTATTCTAGGAAGCAATCCCATCCCCAACTCCCTCCCATGGGTGGGAGTGGTTTGTCCCTGGGCTGAAACATTGGGACTAGTCTAGAGGAATCACTACCCAGCAGAGGTTAGGCCTCTGTCCTTCACTGCAGCCTCGGTTCCAGAAGACGGAGTGCTGAGAAGAGGGAAGATGACCGGTTGCAGGGACCAACAGTAATTCAGATTCTCATCTGTTTCCCTCTCCTGGCCACCCCAGCACCCCCCACACCCCCACTTCCACCCTGATTCTGGGTGGCGAAAACGCAATCTGCGTAGCTCATACTTACTTGGCAGCAGCATCTTTTCTCAACTGTTCATGCTTCATGAGGAGATTTTTCCTGTCTCGGAAGGCTTTTCTGACCTTGTACCCTTTGTAGACAGCTTGGATTTTGAAGGCGGCGATGTCTTGTATGGCTGCGATGGACAGGGCACCGTGCTCCAACATGAACTGGATCACTTCATGGCGCTCACCAAGCAAAGCATAATCAAGGGGTGTGTATCTGAAGTGGGAGGAAGATTTCTTTTTTTTTTAATTTTAGAATGTAATTTAAGGCACAGTTAAACTGAAAATATTATTATGCAGCAGAAGGAAACTTCATTCTAAGATGTGGAATATTCCCCAGGCAAAGCCACCTTCTCTATAACAGGGCTATTCTTTTTTTCTCCGAGGGGCACAAAACAAGGTTGACTATGACTGTGGGTCAGGTGCTTTGTGCTGCTAACCATGTCAGTTCCTGAGTTTTACTCCCTGGCAAACAAATAGGGGCCTATTGGAAAGACATGATCACTTCTCTTCTTTCCCATGTGCCAAATAATTCCCTGCCCCATCTAAAAAGGTAGTGAAAATATTGTGAGATTTGTAAATTTGAGCCCATGATTACTGACAGTTAATGCTTATGAAGTAAAAAACAGAACTCCAAAAGGAGAAATTCAGTATATGATAAGAATGGCCCTTTAAATTTCTGCAGAAAAGATGGATTACTAAATAAATAGTGATGGGACAACCAGGTAGCCATCTGGGGAAAAAAAAGAGATTCTTATAACCACATTTTATACCAAAATAAATTCTGGATAGAGCAAAGATCTAAATATTTTAAAAAGGAACCATGAAAGTACCAGAAGAAACCAGGAAGATTAAAAAATGATGTTGGAAGTCTTTTCTAAAAAAAGGATACAAAATTCAGAAACCATAAAAGGGCTGGGCGCAGAGGCTCACGCCTGTAATCGCAGCACTTTGGGAGGCCGAGGTGGGCAGATCACTTGAGGTTAGGAGTTCGAGACAGCCTAGCCAACAAGGTGAAACCCTGTTTCTACTAAAAATACAAAAATTAGCCAGGCATGGTGGCACATACCTGTAGTCCCAGCTACTCAGAAGGCTAAGGCAGGAGAATTGCTTGAACCCAGGAGGTGGAGGCAGCAGTGAGCTGAGATCATGCCACTGCACTCCAGACTGGGTGACAGAGTGAGACACCGTCTCCAAAAAAAAAAAAAATTTCGGAAACCATAAAAGAAGATTGACAAATCTGACTACATAAAAATAACAAAATTTTACAGAGTAAAAAAGACATCAAAGACAAAGATAACAGTTCCCAGAAGAGTACTAATAGCTCTTAACACATAAAAATGTTGAACCTCACTCATTTAAGAGAAATATGAATTAGACTAACATGAGAGAGTACCTTTCAATGATGATCAGATTTGCAAAAATCAGAAAAGTTAGTAACACACTGCACTAGCAAGGACAGAGAGAGTCAGGCTCTTTCATATACTACTTTAACTTCTAGGGAGGATGATTTGGCAATATTTATCAAAATTATTCATGTATATATGCCATTTGACATAGCCGTTTCACTCTTAGGAATTTATCTTATAGATCTGCTCTCATGTGAAATGCTTTATGTACAAGGCTACTCATAGAAGTACAGCTAGTCATAGCAAAAGAATAGAAACAACCTCAATGTCTATCAACAGAGGACTGCTTAAACAATGCACAGGCCATCCATATAATGAAGATATCTGTATATGCAGTCATTACTGCTATATATGAATAAATAAGAAACAATCTCCAGGATGTCAAATGAAGACAAAGAAAAAAGCAAGAAACAGGAGTTATTATGGCATGTTCCATTTGTATAAAAAATATATCCCTGTATGTTTATCTATGAAAAATGTATTTTCAGAAGTTTTCCAAGAAACTGCTAACAGTGATGCCTCTGGGGGAGGAAAACTAGCTGTCTCAGAGGCAGGGGTAGGAGGAACATTGAGTCTTCAGTGAACATCCTTTTAAATTTTGTACAGTGTATATACATCACTGTTTTGATAAATACATTATTTAGAAACGATGAATATTATTGTCATATTGTTGTATATTTGAATCTCAAATGGCAACTTTCTAGGTGTGCTGTTTTCGGCACATTCTTTTTTTTTTTTCTTTTTTTTTGAGATAGGGTCTCACTCTGTTGCCCAGGCTGGAGTGTAGTGGTGCAAACACAGCTTACTGCAGCCTCGACTCCTCCTGGGCTCAAGTAGTCCTCCTGCCTCAGCCCCCCAAATAGCTGGGACCACGGGCATGTACCACCAAGGCTGGCTAATTTTTTTTTTTTTTTTTTTTTTTTGAGATGGAGTTTTGCTCTTGTTGCCCAGGCTGGAGTGCAATGACGCGATCTCAGCTCACTGCAATCTCCGCCTCCCAGGTTCAAGCAATTCTCCCATCTCAGCCTCCCGAGTAGCTGGGATTACAGGCACATGCCATCACACCCGGCTAATTTTTTTTGTATTTTTAGTAGAGACGGGGTTTCATCATATTGGTCAGGCTGGTCTCGAACTCCTGACCTCAGGTGATCCGACCACCTCGGCCTCCCAAAGTGCTGGGATTACAGGCATGAGCCACTGCACCCGGCCAGTTTTTGTATTTTTGTAGAGATGGGATTTCGCCATGTTCTCCAGGCTGGTCTCGAACTCCTGAGCTCAAGCAATCCTTCTGCCTTGGCCTACCAAAGTGTTGGAATTATAGGTGTGAGCCACTGCACCCAGCCTATTCTTTTAAAAAAATTTCTTCATAAATTTTGGAAACATAAAAAATTGGGTAAATATACAGAGGAAAATAGCTATCATCCATATTCCCACCCTGAGAATTAACCACTGTTCATATCTGGGAGATACAATTTCCTTTTTTAAACAAAAATTACTACTTTGTCAAAATGATATAGATTTTATGAACTCAAAACACTGCAAAAAAAAAATTGAAGTAAAAAAAATCCCCCAAATTCTACCATCCAACAATGGTAACGATGACTATCACTTTTTAAACAACTTACTTTATATCTCTAAGCCTCAGTTTTCCTCATCTGTTAAACAATGTAATACGTTGCAGACTTGGCATGAGGAGAAAATGGAAAAATAAGTGTAAAGAGGATAGCAATGTTCCTGGTCCAAAGGAAACAGTTAATAAATGTCAGCTCTGATTGTTATTATTACAGGACATTCACTGCTGTATGGCTTGCAATACCACAGCTGCTTATCAAAAATATTATCTCCATAGGACCCAAACTAGTATCTATGACCATCCCATGACCACCACTGATGCTGATTCCTCTCAGGATGACTCTGACCAGCCAAACCCATAAAAGGTCTTAGGAAAAAACATCAGATGATTTATGAGGCAGAAAAAAGGATGATTATATGGATGCATGACTAGACATAGAAAATCATCTGATTATAGAAAAAAAATTATTTATCTTCAAAACTTACCTAACAGTCACAGTTAAGACATAAAAGGAAGAGGTTTTTCACTATAGGAGTATTTTGATCACTTTAGTAAGGAAACTGAGTTTGGGAAGAAACCCCAAACACTGAAATTAAGGAACCTCTATTTTAGGACAGCTTCATTTGCCACTTACTGTTCAGGGACCATCTGAGAGGCATCTACATAAACTTTAAAACATTATTTATAAGTGGATAACATTTTTTAAATTCAGGAGAATTAAAAAAAATTTTGCTACAAGTTCTAAAATGCCTTTCTTGACTGTACTTTCTCTAATGGAAAAAATTATCATAGAGTCATTAAACCATGCAATAGTAGAGCTAAATTGAATTTTAGAGGTCATTTAGTTCAATACCTTCATTTTATAAATGGATGAACAGCTCCAGAGAGGTTAAGCAACTTACCAAAGGTTATGTAAATTGTTTCTATAGAATGCAGACTAGAACTAAGATAACATGTCTCCCAGTTCAGTAACCTTCCACAACACATATATCAATTACTTAGTATGTTTCCTATAGAATAAAACTGTTTCTTAAATCAATGTGCAAACAACATACGTATTTGGTAAGTTTGATCATTTTTTCTATAATTATTAATAGGTAGTATCCTTCACATAATATATAAGCAGGATTAACAAAATTTAGTTTATAAAATATAGGGCCCAAATTATTCCTTTACCTACAAATATTACAAAAGGAAATAACATGTAGCTTAATATACCCTAAAGAATGCTGATCTGGGAGTCAGGGGACCTGTGTGACCCTGGGCATTCTCTTAACTTCTCTGGGCTTTTGTTTCCTCATTTGTAAAGAGAAGAACTAGACTTCTTAGGCTGCTTTTGGATTGAAAATTATATCTTAAATATTTTTATGTAAAAAAATATATTTTTATTATGAAAAATTTTAAGCATAAAAAAGGTAGAGAGAATAACATAATAAACACTTATACACTCAATACCTAAATTTAACAATTTTTTGCTACATTTGCTTCATCTAGACCCTTCCTTTTTATTTTTGCTAGAGTATTTTATAGCTAATCTCGGAACTCCTATCATTTTGTCAGAGGTATTGGAACCAGAGGACTCCATCTTGAGTGAGGGCTACGAAAATGAGGCTGGGGCTTGCTGGGCTGCATTCCCAGAAAGGTATTCCTAGCCTCTAGATGTTTACCGTTAAGGGAACATACTGATGTTTACTAAACAGACCCAGACTTGAGAGAGTCCTAATATCCCGATATCTGGAGAACAAAGGCATTCCTAATTTTGCTTTGAAGATAATAATATTGATTCTTGAAAAATGTAGTAATTAAGAAAATGAATCCTTTATCACAAACCCTTGTAGCACAGCACATCTCCCCATAATCTTTTTTTTAATCCTGTATATAAACAAGTATTGTACTTAGGGTGGATACGTTCCTCTCTTACTTTCGGGAACGCCCTACTCTGTCTATGGAGTAGCTGTACTTTCACCACTTTACTTTCTTAATAAACTTGCTTTTGCTTTGCACTGCAGACTCACCCTGAATTGTTTCTTGCGAGAGAGCCAAGAACCCTCTCTTGGGGTCGGGATCGGGACCACTTTCCTGTAACATCTTCATCTCTATGTGTTTAAGTATTCATCAGTAAATAATATGGGCATACCCACAATGTCATTATACTAACAAAATTAACAGGAATTCCTTAGTAAAATCTAAGGACCACTTCATAATCAAATTTACCCAATTTTCTCAAAAAATATATTTTTGTAATTGGTTTATTCAAATTAGGATTCTCAATTTTTTATTCAGAGACACAATCCAAATATCTAGCATCATTTTAAGATTGAAGTCTATACCCAGTATTTAAAACAAGTGTGATCATAAAACACATTGTGATTATTACTACTGAATCTTTTTTCATCCCAAATTCAATTTAGAAAAATTCAAATGCTGTGAATATTCCCATCAGGGTTGGGGTGAGTGTGTCAGATAGTTATTGACTGAAAGTCAGCAGAAGTTGGCAAAAATTATGTCTATACGTTGTTCATCAACTGACTAGTGTCAATGTATGAGAAGTAAAAATTAGCACTACACTGATGGTAACCAACCAAGAAACAATGTGGATATAGACAACAGACAAGATACAATTGGACCTGCCATGTGGGAATGGTCTGATGGGATGAGTAGAATGCCTAAACTGGAATGTCAATAAACGTAAAAGGCAGTGCCAAGTTCTGACATTTGTACATCAAGGTACATTGCTGATGAAACATTAACAAAGACTGAGTTATTGCCACTGTCTCTTTTTATCTATAGTTTGGCAAGTAAAGTTAGGAGGATTTTTCCTTTGGTCTTTTGGTCTGTAATTAACATATGTTTATTCCGGGAGGCAGTAAACACCTTAATTCATGCAGTTACTTAGGTCTCATATTCAAGGTTTAGCATATAAATGGAAATTGAGTTAAAAAATTTCATTGTTTCCTTAAAAATATAGCAGTCAGGCGGTAAATGCTGTTACACAGAATAAATTTTTATAGAAACAAAACAAGTCATCACTAAGTCTAAGGATTCTTAAACTTTCTTTTTTTTTTTTTTTTTTTTTTTTAGAGTTTCAAAGGGAGACATCTTCAGCTCTCCCTCTAATGAGGGAAGTTTCTGAAAGAAGTGGTAAAGGGGTTGGTTCTAGAAAACAGGAACATGTTTCCTCTGAGATGGACGTAGAGAAGTCCCTTCTCAATAAAGTTTTCCACCAACTAATAGAAAGAATGGGTGGTGGCTAAGAGGATGGGAATGGTATTATAGCAGGAGCCATTTTAGTTAGAGCATCCATGAAACATGAAAACTAACACAAAGACCTAGGTCAGAGGGATTGTCAGAGGCATGTGAACTCCATCTTAAAGAGGATCTCGTAAAATGAGGCTGAAAGCTGTTGGGCTGCATTCCCAGAAGGTTAAGGCATTCTAAGGCATAGGATGAAATAGGAGGTCAGCACAAAATACAGGTCATAAAGACCTTGCTGATAAAACAGGTTGCAGTAAAGAAGCTGGCCAAAACCCACCAAAACCAAGATGGAGACGAGAGTGACCTCTGGTTGTCCTCACTGCTACACTCCCACCAGCGCTGTGACATTTTACAAATGCCATAGCAAAGTTGGGAAGTTACCCTATAAGGTCTGAAAAGGGGAGGCATGGATAATCCACCCCTTGGTTAGCATATCATCAAAAAATAACCATAAGAAAACGGGTAACCAGCAGCCCTCAAGGCTGCTTTGTCTCTGGAGTAGCCATTCTTTTATTCCTTTCCTTTCTTAATAAACTTGCTTTCACTTTGCACTGCAAAAGTCGCCCTGAATTCTTTCTTGTGCAAGATCCAAGAACCCTCTGACGGGGTCTGGATCGGGACCCCTTTCCTGTAACAGGACCTCAGGTATGGAAGTGTGATCACAAACTCAGTTGTTACCTACAAATTATAAGAATCTTCCTAGATCTAACACCACCAAGAATCGCTATTCCTTAGACTTCACATTCTGTTTGTTCCTTTTTTTTTAGGCAGAGTCTTACTCTGTTGCAGAGGCTGGAGTGCAGTGGCATGATCTCGGGCTCACTGCAACCTCCGCCTCCTGGGTTCAAGCAATTCTCCTGCTTCAGCCTCCTGAGTAGTTGGGATTACAGGCATGTACCACCATGCCCAGCTAACTTTTTTATATTTTTAGTAGAGATGGGGTTTCACCATGTTGGCCAGGCTGGTTTCGAACTCCTGACCTCAGTTGATCTGCTCGCCTTGGCCTCCCAAAGTGTTGGGATTACAGGCGTGAGCCACCGCACCTGGCCTGTTTGGTCCTTTTTATTGGGCCTGGATTCTTGGTCAATAACCCTAATATAATTCTCCAGACCTTACATTATTCATGCAATCTGCATTTAGATTAAACCCTGAACTTTCATCTTAGCTTCTCCTTATGTTTTCATGCTACATGGTGGCATCTCTTTGTCTACTGACTGATAATATCCTCTTCATCAAGAGAAATCTCTGGAATATATAACACATTCCGCTGGCCTAAATGTACTCCTGGGCCCAGTCAATCAGGATTTCACTGACGTTATGTTAGCCAGAAGTCAGAAGCAGGACTAAAATTTTCTCATCTGCAAAATACATGCTTGCCCTAGGCAATAGATGAAATTCTGAAGAGCTATAAGATCCCATGATTCTAAATCAACATTGCATGAAAGTTTTGCTCTTCTATTCTGGCTCAGTATTTCTTAGTGTAATGTTTTATTATGAGTATAGTTATTATTTCTGAACAATATCTAACCTTGAGATTTAAAAAATCTGGTAGAAAGGATGTATGATAAAGAGCACTTTTTTTAAAAAAAAGTCAACAACTTGGCTGGGCATGGTAGCTCACGCCTATAATCCCAGCACTTTGGGAGGCCGAGGTGGGTGGATCACAAGGTGAGGAGTTCGAGACCTCCCTAGCTAACATGGTGAAACCCCATCTCTACTAAAAATACAAAAAAATTGGCCAGGTGTGATCGTGCATGCCTGTAATCCCAGGTACTCAGGAGGCTGAAGGAGAAGAATTGCTTGAACCCAGGAGGCGAAGGTTGCAGTGAGCCAAGATCGTGCCACTGCAACCCAACCTGAGTGACAGGGCGAGAAGCCATCTCAAAAAAAAAAAAAAAAGTCAACAACAACTTACCTCTCTTCATTGTTTTCCATCTGATTAGGGAAAGCAGCAAAGTCTAGCAGTAATTTAATGGCATCAAGGTATCCATTGTTGCAGGACCAATGCAAAGCTGTTCTTCCCTATAAGCATAAACAAAAATCAAGTACATCTGGAGTAAGTATTTTTGGATATGTGGTTATTTATGCTAATTCAAAATTAATATAAGCAATCATTTTTCCAAATTGCTTATTTACAAAAAGGGAAAATATTAAATATACAGTGGAGAAAGCAAATGATATTTGATCCAAGAGCTCATAATTAACACTATTTTTTTTTTTTTTTTGAGACGGAGTTTCGCTCTCGTCGCTCAGGCTGGAGTGCAATGGTGAGATCTCAGCTCACTGCAACCTCCACCTCCCAGGTGCAAGCAATTCTCCTGCCTCAGCCTCCCAAGTAGCTGGGATTACAGGTGCCCGCCGCCATGCCCAGCTAATTTTTGTATTTTTAGTAGAGACAGGGTTTTGTCATGTTAACCAGGCTGGTCTCAAACTCCTGACCTCAGGTGATCCACCCGCCTCAGCCTCCCAAAGTGCTGGGATTACAGGCGTGAGCCAACATGCCTGGCCAATTAAGGCTGTGATAAGGGGCATCATATATCTCCAGAGGTAATACCCTTAGAAGGATTCATATTACTTATGTAATATTCCAACCAAAAATGTGAAACCTGAATCTAATTATGAGGGAACATAAGACTAACACAAATTGAGTCAAATTCTATAAAATAAATGGCTTGTATTCTTTAAAAAGTTCAATGTCATGAAAGATAAAGAAGAGATGAAGCATTGCTAGACATAAAGAGGGACACTTCATAGTGTTAAAGGAGTCAAAAAGGAAGATATCACAATGCTAAACTTGTGTGCATCTAATAACAAAGCTTCCAAATATACAAGGGAAAAATCGACAAAATTAAAAAGGAAGATAGTCAAGTCCATAGTCATAGTGGGATTTTAACTTATCTTTTAAAAACAACTGATAGAGCAGACAAAAGAGCAGTAAAGATATATAAGACCTAAACAACAGACTTTGAAAAATGGGCCCTAAGTGATATATATATAAATAAAAAACACTGCATCCAACAAGGACAGAGTTAGTGCTCTTTTCACATGTACATAGAACATTTCCCAAAATCAATCATATGCTGGGCCATAAAGTTCCAAAAAAAATAATGCACTCCCTCACAAAGATGTCCATATCCTAGTGCCTGGTACCTGTGAATATGTTATGTTACATGAGAAGGAAGAATTAAGGTTGTAGATGGAATTAAGATTGCTAATCAGCTGAACTTGAGATGGGAAGATTATCCTGGATTATCTGGGTAGGCCTGATCTAATCACAAGGGTCCTTATAAGGGAAACAGGGAGTCAGGAGGGTGAGTGTAAGAATTATACAGATAAGTGATACAGAGAAAGGCTCAACCAGCCAATGTGGCTTTGAAGATGGAGGAATGGGGTCATCAGCCAAGGAATGTGGGCAGCCTTGAGAAACTAAAAAATTAAAAAAATGGATCCTCTCCTAGATCCACCAAAAGAAAAGCAGTCCTGGTGACACCTTGATTTTTAACCCAGTAAGGCCCAGTTTGAATTTCTGACATCTAGAATGGTAAGATAATAAATCTGTGTTGTTCTAAGCCACTAAACCTGTGGTAATTTGTTACAGCAGCAATACATAACTAATATAATCAATTTAAAAAATGAGAAAACACTCAACTGACTGAAAATTAAACAGTACACTTCTAAATAATCTATGTGTCAGAGAATAAACCAAAATAGAAATTAGGAAATAGAAATTAGAAGTTAGAAAATAAAAAAGACAGGAGCAAGACCAATGAAATAGTAAACAAACTCAAAATACAGGCCAGTTGCAGTGGCTCATGCCTGTAATCCTAGCACTTTCGTAGGCTGAGGCAGGTAGATTGCTTGAGCTCAGGAGTTCAAGAACAGCCGTGGGCAACATGGTGAAACCCCTTCTCTACTAAAAATACAAAAAATTTAGCCAGGTGTGGTGGTGTGCACCTGTAGTCCCAGTTACTCAAGAGGCTGAGGTGGGATGATCACCCGAGCCTGGGAAGGTTGAGGTTACAATGAGCCATGATCATGCCACTGCACTCCAGCCTGGGTGGCAGAGTGAGATACTGTCTTAAGAAACAAACAAACAAACAAGCAAACAAAAAAACCCAAAATCTCAAAATATAGAAAATCCACAAAGACAGAAATAAGTCCTTTGAGGAGATGAATATCAAGTTTTTTTTTTTTTTTTTTTTTTTAGTGCTCCAGGTAAGGAATAAAGAAAATTTTTAAAAAAGAAAGAGAAAACACACATTACCAATATATGAAATAAACAAGAGGAACTCACTACAGGTCCTACAGGCATAAAAAAGATAAGGGAATATGTGTGTGACAAAATTTATGCAAATACATTTGACATTTTGAATAAAATGAATAAATTCCTTAAAAAGTACAACTTACCAAGCTGAAAGAAAAATAATTAGAAAATCTGAATAATTAATGGAATTGAATTGGTTATTTAAAACTTTTACACAAAGAAAACCCCAACACCAGATAACTTCAAGAGGAAATTCTTCCAAACATTTAAGGAAGAAGTAATACCAATTTTATTCTCCAAGAGAATAAAAACAAGGGACTATTTTCTAACTTTTTTTTTTTGACAAGGTTAGCCTTACCTTGCTACCAAAACCTTGCAACTATAATACAAGAAAGGAAAATTATAGGCCAATCTCTCTCATAAACATAGACGCAAAAATCTTAAAATATTAGCAGGTAAAATACATCAGTATATAAAAGTACATAATATATATGGGGCTTACTCCAGAAATGCAAGGGTTGTTTAACATCTAAAAAAAAAATCAGTCAATGTAATTTGCCATATTAACAGAAAAGAGGAAAAAAAAATCTTGTTGATAAATGCATAAATAGTATTTGACAAAAACCCAACTATGATTTAAAAAAACTCTTGGCAAGTGGGAATATAAGGAAATCTATAGCAACATCTTACTCAATGGTAAAATGTTGAAAGCTTGCCATCTGAGAAACCAGAATTAATTAAGGATGCCAATTATCACCAATTCTATTCAAGATTGTATTGAAGGTTCCAATTCAATATGGCACAGCAAAGAAATGAAAAGTATAAAGATTGGAAATGAAGAAATAAAAATGTTATTATTCACAGATAGCATGCATGATTGCTTATGTAGACAATCCAAAGCAATACACATAGCAGCTAATAGAACTGGAAAGATGCTTAATATTCTACTTATGTAAAAAACTGGCAACTTGGTAAAACATTAAAAGTACTACAAATTATAAAAGATGCATTCCTCCCAGGTGCGGTGGCTCATGCCTGTAATCCCAGCACTTTGGGAGGCTAAGGCAGGCGGATCACAAGATCAGGAGATCGAGACCATCCTGGCTAACATGTTGAACCCCGTCTCTACTAAAAATACAAAAAAAAATTAGCTAGGCATGGTGGCAGGTACCTGTAGTCCCAGCTACTTGGAAGGCTAAGCAAGAAGAATGGCGCGAACCCGGGAGGTGGAGCTTGCAGTGAGCTGAGACTGGGCCAGTGCACTCCAGCTTGGGTGACAGAGCGAGACTCTGTCTCAAAAAAAAAAAAAAAAAAGATGCATTCCTAGTATCATAAAGACATGGACCATATTTTACATACTTTTCTTTGTTACTTTTACATACAGTAACAATCTTGATAAATACTTGTTCAATGAGTTCATAGGGACTTGAGTTAATAGGGACAGCTAATTTTCTGACTTGGAAAACATAATTAACATGCAAATATTTTTAAAGAGTTAAAATAATTTAATTAGCAAAAAAGTTAATACTGGCTAAACTGAGATAAATTAATACTACGCAACTGGGGAAAGTAAAGATTAACCTGAATCTTTTAGAAATCAGTTTGGCAGTATATATGAGAGCCTAATCATATTAATAAACGATTGGTTGCTTTGATTTGATAATCTCACTTAGGGGGAATTATTCTAATGCGATAATCCCAAAGGAAAAAAGTTAAATGCACAAAGATAATTACTGAAACATTACCTATAATAGTGAAAAAGTGACCAGCAATAGGAAGTTACTTATTTAACCTATATTTGGGTTAAGAGCATAGTTTGGATATTAAATCTCCCCCCAAGCTTCCCCCACTGTTGTTATCTTAGGCTAACTACTTAAACTACATGAGCTTCAATTTCCTCATCTGTAAAATGAGAATAATAATAGTAACTACTTTATAAGATTATTGTAAGGATTGAATAAGCTATTAAACATAAAGTTCTTGGAACCTTGGAATTTTAAGCATTCATGATAATTAAAAAGATTATATATCACATGAGAAAACGGTGACAATTTTAAGTAAACAAAATGTGGTTTGAAAATCATGTAATAGGCAGGCACGGTGGCTCACACCTGTAATCCCAGCACTTTGGGAGGCCAAGGTGGGTGGATCACGAGGTCAGGAGTTCGAGACCGGACTGACCAACATGGTGAAATCCTGTGTCTACTAAAAACATTATAAAAATTAGCCAGATGTGGTGGTGCATGCCTGTAATCCCAGCTACTCGGGAGGCTGAGGCAGAAGAATCGCTTGAACCTGGGAGGTGGAGGTTGCAGTAAGCCGAGGTTGTGCCACTGCACTCCAGCCTGGGTGAAAGAATGAGACTCTTGTCTCAAAAAAAAAAAAAAAAAAAAGAAAAGAAAATGTAATAGGTCGGACATGGTGGCTCACATCTGTAATCCTAGCACTTTGGGAGGCTGAGGTAGGCAGATCACAAGGTCAGGAATTTGAGACCAGCCTGGCCAACATGGTGAAACCCCATCTCTACTAAAAATACAACAATTAGCTGGGCATGGTGGTGTGCGCCTGTAATCCCAGCTACTCAGGAGGCTGAGGCAGAAGAATCACTTGAACCCAGGAGGCAGAAGTTGCAATGGGCAGAGATGGTGCCACTGCACTCCAGCCTGGGTGACGAAGCGAGACTCCATCTCAACAAACAAAAAAAGAAAAGAAAAGAAAATCATGTAATAGGGTCAGGTGTGGTGGCTCATGCCTGTAATCCCAGCACTTAGGGAGGCCGAGGCGGGCGGATCACCTGAGATCAGGAGTTCGAGACCAGCCTGGCCAATGTGACGAAACCCCGTCTCTACTAAAAATACAAAAATTAGCCAGGCATGGTGGTGGATGCCTGAGAGGCCAAGTACCCTCTCAGCTACTCAGGAGGCTGAGGCAAGAGAATCGCTTGAACCCGGGAGGTGGAGGTTGCAGTGAGCCAAGATTGCACCACTGCGCTCCAGCCTGGGAGGAAAAAAAAAAAAAAAAAGGCCCCAGTTCCAAGATGGCCAAACAGGAACAGCTCCAGTCTACAGCTCTCAGCATGAGTGATGAAGAAGACGGGTGATTTCTGCATTTCCAACTGAGGTACCGGGTTCATCTCACTGGGGCTTGCTGGACAGTGGGTGTGGCCCATGGAGTGTGAGCCAAAGAAGGGTGGGGCATCACCTCACCCAGAAAGTGCAAGGGGTCGGGGAATTCCCTTTTTCTAGCCAAGGAAAGCCGTGACAGATGGTACCTGGAAAATCGGGACACTCCCACCCTAATACTGCGCTTTTTCCAATGGTTTTAGCAGACGGCACACCAGGAGATTATATCCCACACCTGGCTCAGAGGGTCCCACGCCCACGGAGACTCACTCACTGCTAGCACAGCAGTCTGAGATCGAACTGCAAGGCAGCAGCGAGGCTGGGGGAGGGGCGTCCGCCATTGCTGAGGCTTGAGTAGGTAAACAAAGCGGCCGGCCAGGAAGCTCGAACTGGGTGGAGCCCACCGCAGCTCAAGGAGGCCTACCTGCCTTTGTAGACTCCACCTCTGGGGGCAGGACATAGCTGAACAAAAGGCAGCAGAAACTTCTGCAGACTTAAACGACCCTGTCTGACAGCTTTGAAGAGAGTAGTGGTTCTCCCAGCATGGAGTTTGAGATCTGAGAATGGACAGACTACCTCCTCAAGTGGGTCCCTGACCCCCAATAGCCTAACGGGGAGACATCTCCCAGTAGGGGCCGACTGACACCTCATACAGCCAGTTGCCCCTCTGAGACGAAGCTTCCAGAGGAAGGATCAGGCGGCAACATTTGCCGTTCTGCAATATTTGCTGTTCTGCAGCCTCCGCTGGTGATACCCAGGCAAACATGGTCTGGAGTGGATCTCCAGCAAACTCCAACAGACCTGCAGCTAAGGGTCCTGACTGTTAGAAGGAAAACTAACAAACAGAAAGGACATCCACACCAAAATCCCATCTGTACATCACCATCATCAAAGACCAAAGACCAAAGACCATAAAACCACAAAGATGGGGAGAAACCAGAGTAGAAAAGCTGAAAATTCTAAAAATCAGAGTGCCTCTTCTCCTTCAAAGGAACACAGCTCCTCGCTAGCAACACAACAAAGCTGGATGGAGAATGACTTTGACGAGTCGACAGAAGTAGGCTTCAGACGATCGGTAATTACAAACTTCTCCGAGCTAAAGGAGCATGTTCGAACCCATTGCAAAGAAGATAAAAACTTTGGAAAAAGATTAGACGAATGGCTAACTAGAATAAAAAGCATAGAAACGACCTTAAATGACCTGATGGAGCTGAAAACCATGGCACAAGAACTACATGAGGCATGCACAAGCTTCAGTAGCCAATTCGATCAAGTGGAAGAAAGGGTATCAGTGATTGAAGATCAAATGAAGGAAATGAAGTGAGAAGTTTAGAGAAAAAAGAGTAAAAAGAAATGAACAAAGCCTCCAAGAAATATGGGTCTATGTGAAAAGACCAAATCTACATCTGATTGGTGTACCTGAAAGTGACGGGAAGAATGGAACCAAGTTGGAAAACACTGTTCAGGATATTATCCAGGAGAACTTCCCCAACCTAGAAAGGCAGGCCAACATTCAAATTCAGGAAATACAGAGAATGCCACAAAGATACTCCTCGAGAAGAGCAACTCCAAGACACATAATTGTCAGATTCACCAAAGTTGAAATGAAGGAAAAAATGTTAAGGGCAGCCAGAGAGATAGGTCGGGTTACCCACAAAGGGAAGCCCATCAGACTAACAGCAGATCTCTTGGCAGAAACTCTACAAGCCAGAAGAGAGTGGGGGCCGATATTCAACATTCTTAAAGAAAAGAATTGTCAAACCAGAACTTCATATCCAGCCAAACTAAGCTTCATAAGTGAAGGAGAAATAAAATCCTTTACAGACAAGCAAATGCTGAGAGATTTTGTTAGCACCAGGCCTGCCTGACAAGAGTTCCTGAAGGAAGCAGTAAACATGGAAAGGAACAACTGGTACTAGCCACTACAAAAGCATGCCAAATTGTAAAGACCATCGATGCTAAGAAGAAACTGCATCAACTAAAGAGCAAAATAACCAGCTAACATCATAATGACAGGATCAAATTCACACATAACAATATTAACCTTAAATGTAAATGGGCTAAATGCTCCAATTAAAAGACACAGACTGGCAAATTGGATACAGTCAAGACCCATCAGTGTGCTGTATTCAGGAAACCCATCTCATGTGCAGAGACACACATAGGCTCAAAATAAAGGGATGGAGGAAGATCTGCCAAGCAAATGGAAAACAAAAAAAGGCAGGGGTTGCAATCCTAGTCTCTGATAAAACAGACTTTAAACCAACAAAGATCAAAAGAGACAAAGAAGGCCATTATATAATGGTAAAGGGATCAATTCAACAAGAAGAGCTAACTATCCTAAATATATATGCACCCAATACAGGAGCACCCAGATTCATAAAGCAAGTTCTTAGAGACCTATAAAGAGATTTAGACTCCCACACAATAATCATGGGAGGCTTTAACACCCCACTGTCAACATTAGACAGATCAACAAGACTGAAAGTTAACAAGGATATCCAGGACTTGAACTCAGCTCTGCACCAAGCGGACCTAATAGACATCTACAGAACTCTCCACCCCAAATCAACAGAATATACATTCTTCTCAGTACCACATTGCACTTATTCCAAAATTGACAACATAGTAAAGCACTCCTCAGCAAATGTAAAAGAACAGAAATTACAACAAACTGTCTCTCAGACCACAGTGCAATCAAATTAGAACTCAGGATTAAGAAACTCACTCAAAACCACTCAACTACATGGAAACTGAACAACCTGCTCCTGAATGACTACTGGGTACATAACAAAATGAAGGCAGAAATAAAGATGTTCTTTGAAACCAATGAGAACAAAGACACAACACACCAGAATCTCTGGGACACATTTAAAACACTGTGTAAAGGGAAATTTATAGCACTAAATGCCCACAAGAGAAAGCAGGAAAGATCTAAAATTGACACCCTAGCATCACAATTAAAAGAACTAGAGAAGCAAGAGCAACCACATTCAAAAGCTAGCAGAAGGCAAGAAATAACTAAGATCACAGCAGAACTGAAGGAGATAGAGACACAAAAAACCCTTCAAAAAATCAATGAATCCAGGAGCTGGTTTTTTTTAAAAGATCAACAAAACTGATAGACAACTAGCAAGACTAATAAAGAAGAAAAGAGAGAAGAATCAAATAGATGCAATAAAAAATGATAAAGGGAATATCACCACCAATCCCACAAAAACACAAACTACTATCAGAGAATACTATAAACACTTCTATGCAAATAAACTAGAAAATCTAGAAGAAATGGATAAATTCCTGGACACACATACCCTCCCAAGACTAAACCAGGAAGAAGTTGAATCCCTGAATAGACCAATAACAGGCTCCGAAATTGAGACAACAATTAATAGCCTACCAACCAAAAAATGTCCAGGACCAGATGGATTCACAGCCAAATTCTCCCAGAGGTACAAAGAGGAGCTGGTACCATTCCTTCTGAAACTATTCCAATCAATAGAAACAGAGGGAATCCTCCCTAAATCATTTTATGAGGCCAGCATCATCCTGATACCAAAGCCTGGCAGAGACACAACAAAAAAAGAGAATTTTAGACCAATATCCCTGATGAACATCGATGCAAAAATTTTCAATAAAATACTGGCAAACCAAATCCAGCAGCACATCAAAAAGCTTATCCACCATGATCAAGTGGGCTTCATCCCTGGGATGCAAGGCTGGTTCAACATACACAAATCAATAAATGTAATCCATCATATAGACAGAATCAAAGACAAAAACCACATGATTATCTCAACAGATGCAGAAAAGGCCTTTGACAAAATCCAACAGCCCTTCCTGCTAAAAACTCTCAATAAACTAGGTATTGATGGGACGTATCTCAAAATAATAAGAGCTATTTATGACAAACCCACAGCCAATGTCATACTGAATGGGCAAAAACTGGAAGCATTCCCTTTGAAAACTGGCACAAGACAGGGATGCCCTCTCTCACCACTCCTATTCAACACAGTGTTGGAAGTTCTGGCCAGGGCAATCAGGCAGGAGAAAGAAATAAAGGTATTCAATTAGGAAAAGAGGAAGTCAAATTGTCCCTGTTTGCGGATGACATGATTGTATATTTAGAAAACCCCATTGTCTCAGCCGAAAATCTCCTTAAGCTGATAGGCAACTTCAGCAAAGTCTCAGGATACAAAATCAATGTACAAAAATCACAAGCATTCCTATATGCCAACAGACAAACAGAGAGCCAAATCATGAGTGAACTCCCATTCGCAATGTCTTCAAAGAGAATAAAATACCTAGGAATCCAGCTTACAAGGGATGTGAAGGACCTCTTCAAGGAGAACTACAAACCACTGCTCAATGAAATAAAAGAGGACACAAACAAATGGAAGAACATTCCATGCTCATGGATAGGAAGAATCAATATCGTGAAAATGGCCATATTGCCCAACATAATTTATAGATTCAATGCCATCCCCATCAAGCTACCAATGACTTTCTTCACAGAATTGGAAAAAACTACTTTAAAGTTCACATGGAACCAAAAAAGAGCCCGCATTGCCAAGACAATCCTAAGCCAAAAGAACAAAGCTGGAAGCATCACGCTACCTGACTTCAAACTGTACTATAAGGCTACAGTAACCAAAACAGCATGGTACTGGCACCTAAACAGAGATATACACCAATGGAACAGAACAGAGCCCTCAGAAATAATACCACACATCTACAATCATCTGATTTTTGACAAACCTGACAAAAACAAGCAATGGGGAAAGGATTCCCTATTTAATAAACAGTGCTGGGAAAACTGGCTAGCCACATGTAGAAAGCTGAAACTGGATCCCTTCCTTATACCTTATATAAAAATTAATTCAAGATGGATTAAAGACTTAAATGTTAGACCTAAAACCATAAAAACCCTAGAAGAAAACCTAGGCAATACCATTCAGGACATAGGCATGGGCAAGGACTTCATGATTAAAACACCAAAAGCAATGGCAACAAAAGCCAAAATTGACAAATGGGATCTAATTAAACTAAAGAGCTTCTGCACAGCAAAAGAAACTACCATCAGAGTGAACAGGCAACCTTCAAACTGGAGAAAATTTTTACAATCTACCCATCTGACAAAGGGCTAATATCCAGAATCCACAAAGAACTTAAACAAATTTACAAGAAAAAAATCAAACAACCCCATCAAAAAGTGGGCGAAGGACATGAACAGACACTTCTCTAAAGAAGACATTTATACAGCCAACAGACACATGAAAAAATGCTCATCATCACTGGCCATCAGAGAAATGCAAATCAAAACCACAATGAGATACCATCTCATACCAGTTAGAATGGCGATCATTAAAAAGTCAGGAAACAACAGGTGCTGGAGAGGATGTGGAGAAATAGGAACACTTTTACACTGTTGGTGGGACTGTAAACTAGTTCAACCATTGTGGAAGACAGTGTGGCGACTCCTAAAGGATCTAGAACTAGAAATACCATTTGACCCAGCCATCCCATTACTGGGCATATACCCAAAGGATTATAAATCATGCTGCTATAAAGACACATGCACACGTATGTTTATTGCGGCACTATTCACAATAGCAAAGACTTGGAACCAACCCAAATGTACATCAATGATAGACTGGATTAAGAAAATACAGCACATATACACCATGGAATACTATGCAGCCACAAAAAAAAGATGAGTTCATGTCCTTTGTAGGGACATGGATGAAGCTGGAAACCATCATTCTCAGCAAACTATCGCAAGGACAGAAAACCAAATACCGCATGTTCTCACTCATAGGTGAGAATTGAACAATGAGAACACTTGGACATAGGGTGGGGAACATCACACACCGGGGGCTGGTGTGGGATGGGGGAAGCAGGGAGGGATAGCATTAGGAGATATTCCTAATATAAATGATGAGTTAATGGGTGCAGCACACCAACATGGCACATATATACATATGTAACAAACTTGCACGTTGTGCACATGTACCCTAGAACTTAAAGTATAATTAAAAAAAAAAAGAAAATCATATATTTATGTTTATAGATGCATACATGTGTATGCCATGTAATCTTTTATAAAAGTTATAAAATTATTCCCAGCCTATATTATAACTATGTTAAATTATATATATAGAAAAAGACTGGAAGAGAACATGGACAAATAATAGTCATGATTAACAGATGGATTTGTGGGTGATCTCTTCATCTTGTAAACTGTTGTTTTACTTATGTTTACAACAAAGAAGAAATACTCTAAATTCTTTGGAGCAAACAATATAGAAAAGACAGAATTTCTACCTCTTTGTCTTGAATGTTAGGGTCTGCATTGTTTTCCATGAGAACTGCCATGCAGTTGATATAGCCTCCATATGCTGCACACTGCAAAGGGGTTCTTCCTGCATAATCCTGGACATTTGGATTGATCTTATTTTCTATTAATATCTGGCAAACATCAGCATTTCCTCCCAGTGCTGCCCAATGTAGAAGAGAATGTCCATCTTGGTCAACTAGATCTACCCTTGCTCCACCTGGAAAAGCACAAATATAATGAGAATGTCTAATATAAATAGCTTTTATTAAAATGAGTAGGAGTAGAAAAAACAATTGTTCCTTAAATGCATTTATTAAAATGAATAGAAGAAAAACAATAACAATTGTTCCTTTAATGCTTTATTCTTATGGAAATGCTTCCACATACGTTGTCTACATCAGATTTTTACAATAAGCTTGTAAATTGGACTGGCTAGGAATCAGTCCCCCTTTATATAAAATAAAAGTGAAGATCAGGCAGGTGAAATTACTTTTCCTGTATCAAGCAACTCCCAACAAGTGGAGCTAGGAGTAGAACTTGAGGTTCCTCATGCCATGTTGTGTGATCATCCCTTCATCCTTGTACTTGTGCAGCTTTCTGCTAAGGAAAGCTTTATCTTAAACAGAGTATGCAAGAATTCCTACCTGTTAAGAGAGACTTATTAGGAGTACTCTTATTAGCCCACCTTTAATGAGTGTCTGAATCACATCTTTGTGTCCCATCTCACAGGCTCGGAAAAGTGGAGTATGTTTCATAACATCAGTAGCATCTACTTGAGCATTATTTTCCAGTAATAACTTCACGGTGCTGACATGGCCAGAAAGAGCAGCAGCATGCAAAGCTAAAAGGGAACCAACAGAAAGTGATGAACTAGTCAATAACAACTTCACCTTTTAAATTATTATATGTCTTTTCCTCTCTTGATTTCCCCATCATTTTGAATAAATGCAATCTCCATTTTAAGGATTCACTAATTTATTTTTTGCTTTTTTAGATTCTGCCTTCCTTCCTATTCATATGTATTACTCACACTTTCTCCTTTCCTTCTACCTTTCTCTTCTTGCTATTTTCTTCCTTTCCATCCTGTTGGTCTGAAATGGTATCCTCTTCTCAGCTACTAGTTTTCTCTTTTCAGCTATTAGTTTTCTCTTTTTCTCTTTAAGAGAGCAAGAAAACAATAACAAAGAGGAATGATTTAAATGATGTACACAATTCTGCCCAACAACCCACTCAATAAGCATATGCCCCTAAGGGGTCATGTGACTGGAGACATCAATCTACTGTTCCTTCCATTGGTTACATGCACTGTTCCTTCAGTTGGCTGAAGTACCCCAGTGGTACTGAAAGCACGCACATCTTGCTGCATTGAGTGCATTTTTAATACAATATCAGCTACAAGCCAGCTACTTCCCCAGGGCTCAATTTAAGAAACAGCGAGGTGGCACATGTCTATAGTCCCAGCTACTTGGGAGGCTGAGGCAGGAGGACTGCTTGAACCCAATAGGTCTAGACCAGTCTGGAGAAAATAGAAAGACCTCATCTCAAAAAAAGAAAAGAAAAGAAACAGGAATTTGCTTCACTGGAGAAAAACTGAGATGGAATATGGCCTCCTCTCTTGTGCTGTCCAGAGGTTTTAAAGAGTAATTTTGATTAAATGTGTTTCATGTACACTGACTCCTCTCTATGTTACTCCAGTGTAATGCTTGGCTTATGCCATCCCTCTATAGGTTTGAATTAGCCACAATAACACTTTAGAGGCCTTGGCCAGTTCTAAGTATTATGGCTCTATAAGGCCTAGAACAATGTCTCTTTCATAAAGGGTGATCCACAGAGCAAACCTGGATGCAGATTTTTGGGCTGGGTAGTATTATAATGCTGGGTGTTTAGCAAAGAATACAATAGATAAGGTTACATTCTAGGAAGGGAAGCAAAACAAAACAAAAACAAAACAAAACAAAACAAAAACAAAACAATTCCCCATCAATAAAGTTATTATATAGTGATAATTGGTATAATTAAAGTAATAAAAACTATTTTGATATGTAGAATCACTGAGGGACTACTTTTGATTGGTGGTTATGAGCTGACATTTAAGTTGAGACCTGAACCATGAAAAAGACAGCGTATTTTGAGCAAAGGGAAGAGTTAGTACAGGACAGGAACGACTGTGTATGTTTAAGGAAGGAAGGGTAGTTGCAGCACAGTAAGTGACAGTGGAGTAAGTCAGAAACATAGAAAAGGCCAGATCACAAATGGTCCTATCAGTCAGTGATGGAAGACATTTGAAGGGCTTTATATAGTGGAGTGATATTATCTGATTTATGCTTTAAACAGATCACTCTAGCTCTTCTGAGGAGAAAGTATTTGTAGTAGATTAGAATATAAGCAGGGAGACCAGTAAGGATTTTGGCAGTAGACTGAGTGAAAAATGATGGTGGTCTGATTAGGGTGGTTGCAATGGAGATGAAGAGAAACAGAATGATTTAGAACACATTTTGGAGGTGGAGTCAACAGGACTTGCTACGGGATTTGACATAGAATCTTTGTCCATATAGCCTGGGAATCTGAATTTAAACACCTCTAGTAATTCTTATGCCATTCTTGAATTTGGGAACCACTGACCTAAATGACTGAATGTTAGTTTGACCTAGACAAGATTCAGACAGGCGTGAGTAACTTCAAATATCTGAAGTGCTATAACATGAAAGACAGCACAGGGTAGAACATTCACATTTACAGATGAAAGGATATGACTCTAGAATTTTTTTCAAAACAATCAGAAGTAGAGGAAATGAATCGTGGTTAAATAAAACAAGATTAGCCACGTATTGATAATTGTTGAAGCTGGGTGAGAGCTATATTGAGTTCACTGGACAACTGTCTACTTTTGAATGTGTTTGAAGATTTCCATAATATAAAGTTATATTTTTAAAAAATTAAGTTTCTATATAAACTTACAGCACTTTTCAAAGAGGGAGTAACAATAGCTAAATTCAAGGTTATTTTTATTTTATTTTTTGAGATGGAGTCTCACTCTGTCATCCAGGCTGGAGTGCAGTGGTTCAATCTCAGGTCACTGCAACCTCCACCTCCCAGGTTCAAACGATTCTTCTGCCTCAGCCTCCCAAATAGCTGGGATTATAGGCGTGTACCACCACACCCAGCTCATTTTTATAATGTTAGCAGAGACGGGGTTTCACCACGTTGACCAGACTGGTCTCAAACTCCTGACCTCAGGTGATCCACCTGCCACGGCCTCCCAAAGTGCTGGGATTACAGGCGTGAGCTACCACGCTCGGCCTAAGGTTATTTTTAAATAAAGTAAATTCAGGCCAGGCGCGGTGGCTCATGCCTGTAATCCCAGCACTTTGGGAGGCCGAGGTGGGTGGATCATTTGAGGTCAGATGTTCAAGACCAGCCTGGCCAACATGGTGAAACCCCGCCTCTACTAAAAATACAAAACTTAGCCAGCATAGTGGTGGGCACCTGTAGTCCCAGCTACTAGGGAGGCTGAGACAGAAGAATCACTTGAACCCGGGAGGTGGAGGTTGCAGTGAGCTGAGATCATGTCACTGCACTCCAGCCCGGGCAAGAGAGTGAGACTCTGTCTCAAATAAATAAATAAATAAAAATAAATTCAAATAGTCATAAATGGGGAATTTCCTTTAATATGATCATTAATTTTATCTTTTACTTAATTGAAATTTTATTTTTTAAAAAAATTTGACATTGATATTATCTATAGAGTATATTTCATACTTGATGCCACACCACAGAATTGTAGCATTTCAGAATTAGAAGTCACCTTAAAACTAAATGTAGCCCAGGGTTTTCCAAACCATGTTCTTCAGAACAACAGCTTTCTATAGAGGTACCTGAAATACTTAGCTGAGGGAATAGACAGTCGAGTGGATAATGCTCCACTTCTGATTTAGTCAGAACCACTCAACCCTTACTTGCTTTATATGTTAGGTGTTTTATAAATTTTCATTTGGGGGAAAAGGGTTCCCCCCTTTTCATTTGGGGGAAAAGGGTTCTTATGCTCTTCAAATGTGAAATCACTGAAATATCACAGATATTATATGATGCTTTCATCTGCCTTATGATATTCTCAGCACTTTGGGAAGAAGCTGAGGTGGGAGGATCGCTTGAGCCCAGGAGTTTGAGACCAGCCTGGGCAACACAGTGAGATCCCATCTTATTATTACTATTATTATTATTTTTTAACTTTTTTTTTCTAAAAAAAGAAAATGAGACAAAAGCAAGAGCAGGACACAAACAGAAAGATGTAATCCCTTGTCCATCTTCCAGCCTTCCAGTCTCCCTCCAATGCTCTCTATTGGTGGACTCTAAAAGAGCACCTGTGGCAAAGGGGAAATGTGATTTACAGAGACCCAGGCCCAGCATTGCAAAGAAAGGACAAAAGGATCAACACGAAGCTGAGAGACAATAGCTTAATCACTGGTAAAACCATAATGCTGTTATCACGCCTAAAAAATACTAATAGAAATTCTATAATGTTCAATAATATTGACATTTTCCTGATGGCTTTAACATTTTTTATAGTTTATTTATTTAAGTCAGGATCTAAATAATGTCCATACATTGCTATTGGTAAGACCTCTTTTTAATGGGAAGGAAAAAAAAAAACCCTGTAGAGGGATGACGGAGAGGAACTCACTTTCACAGAAAAGAAATGTCAGGAAGGCATCTCTGACATAATAAAATCCCCATTGAAGAAAGAAACCAGCAAATTAATGAATCTGAGAAGAATTTATGTCTGAACTTCAACCATGGTGCATATGAGATACTTTTGGTCAAAGAGTGCAAGTATCCTTGCCCATGCCTTATTCAAATACCTGAAAAAGTTAAACTAAAATCAAAGCTAGTGATAAAGTGGAAGAATATATAATGGAAAACTGACAAAAAATTAAATGTTCAGATCATTTATAAAGTCAATATCCTATGTGTCTGCACTATGCCCCTTAAGAAATTTAAGATCTGCTGGCCGGGCACGGTGGCTCACACCTGTAACCCCAGCACTTTGGGAGGCCGAGGCAGGTGGATTGCTTGAGCTCAGAAGTTCGAGACCAGCCTGGGCAACATGGTGAAACCCCGCCTCTACTAAAATACAAAAAGAAAAAAAAATTAGCTGGGCGTGGTGGCGTCCACCTGCAGTCCCAGCTACTTGGGAGGCTGAGGCAGGAGACTTGCTTGAACCTGGGAGGCAGAGGTTGCAGTGAGCCAAGATCATGCCACTGCACTCCAGCCTGGGTGACAGAGTGAGACTCCGTCTCAAAAAGAAAAAAAAAGAAATTTAAGATCTGCTGTAAGGCTTTCATAGAGAAATACTTTTGAAAGTTAAAGTCTTTATTGTAAAATTGAATTGTCTTCTTAAAATATTTTTTTTTGAGGCTGTGGTTGTCTCGGTATAGGGAGGGAGATTTTTTTAAGTAAAGCAACTCCCCTCCCTTCTCTCTCCCTACTGTTGCATCAGTAGTTTTGGTGGCCAAGAAAAATCTTATTCAGGATAACAGTAGATGCAAATGGCTCTAGCATGTTTCTACAAATAAAAAAAATAACATGGAGAAGCCCATCACTGATTTTTTATTCTATTCAGTGTTATTGTGGTGGTATGTGATTTCTCCTTCTGTTTCTGAGTTGTAAGTACGATACAGTACACAAGGAAGAGACCTCCAAGTTGACACTGAGGCAGAAAAACTACCTTTCATTAACCAACACATAGGTAAAGGCCTCTTCTATTAGAGAAAGAAATTAAAAGAAGTATCTAGTAAGAGTTTTTCAAGCAAGGTTGATTTGAAGCTTTGAAGCATCTTAGAGCCATGGGAGGTTCTCTCTAAAAATGGGAGATTCAGGATGTGGTAATGCTATTCAAAACTGAGAAAAGAGCACAGTAAAGGAGACTGGTGAGAATACACTTAGATGTGTGCATTCCTTAAATAAAATTCTAAATTTTTGAAAATATAATTCATGACTACTAAATATGGATAGTTTTAAAGTGTAGGTTTTTTTTTTTTTACAAAAAGATAAATGATCAGAAGAGTCCCCATAATCATGTCTAAGGAGCAACCAGGGTTTTAAACCAAATGCAACCATTCATTTGGTAGAAACATGCTAATCTTTGCCATAATACTTGGAAGAAATAAAACCTTTGGAGTGACATCCTGGCAAACCCAAACTTAAAACTGAAGACCAAAGTCAAACAATATTAGATTAGGAACAATGATTTCAAGTTGCTATTTTACAAATTTTATAGCAACATCTACACTTTGGAACCTAAATGAAAGCAAATTGAATGTGTCCACCAGTTCTCACCTGTACCTCCATATTTGTCAGCCATGTTAATATCTATGTCCGATTTTAAGCTCAGCATAGTTCTAAGGACATCATCACTGCCTTTGCCAGCTGCCCACATAAAGGATGTTCTTCCTTCCAGGTCTGAATCATCTTTCACTGAAGGATGTTTTAAAAACACTTTAACCGTTTCCTGTAAGAAAACTTGATTTAAAAAATGGAGACAAAACAGTAGTATTTTCTGTGGTAATAAAGTCATATAATAATATGTGAATTCCATTAAGAAGCAAAGCATTTTCCCCTTGCTTTTGAATCAAATTAAATTATCTTTTTATTAATGACAGAACTACAATTTCCATCGAAGATAACAATCCTCTGTCCTTACAAATTAGTTGTAGTGTCCATAACACTTCATAAACATAACCTAACTCTCCCATTCAACATCCTCAAAATGGAAAATAATCATCTTCAATCAAGCTTGGAAACTTTATAGGTCATCGTTTGAGTGAGAGTTAGAAAACTCAGAAGTATTCAGTGTTTTATTTATTAATGACCAAAATTTAAATCTTTCTTTCTGCCTTGTTCTCTTCTCTTCTCCATCCTTTTTCTTTCTTTCTTTCTTTCCTTCTTTTCTTTTTTCTTTTTCTTTTTTTTTTGAGAGGGAGTCTTACTCTGTTGCCCAGGTTGGAGTGCAGTGGTGCAATCTCGGCTCACTGCAACCTCTGCCTCCCAGGTTCAAGTGATTCTCCTGCCTCAGCCTCCCAAGTAGCTGAGTGTCATCACACCCGGCTAATTTTTGTATTATTAGTAGAGATGGGGTTTTACCATGTTGGCAAAGCTGGTCTTGAACTCCAGACCTCAAGTGATCCATCCATCTTGGCCTCCCAAAGTGCTGGAATTACAGGCATGAGCCACTGTACCTGGCCCATAAAATACATGTTTTCTTGGACATTTTACATGAGATCCATCTATTCAGGCATGCCTCCAGAGAAGGTTCTGCATTCTCTCACTGTGTTTTTTGTTTGTTTGCTTTTGCCTTAAATCCAGAACAAACTGGAACTATGTGATTAGTTACTAAACATTTTTGAAATGGTTAATGCATTTATTGAATACTGATTGATGGTTACTGAGAAATGCAGTGCTGAATTCATTAAAACAAATATTTATTCAGCAATTCCTTTATTACTGAATTGTCCTTCTTCTATGGAATCATACAAAAATTAGGACTGGGCCGGGCGCAGTGGCTCACGCCTGTAATCCCAGCACTTTGGGAGGCTGAGGTGGGTGGATCACAAGGTCAGGAGATTGACAGCATCCTGGCCAACATGGTGAAACCCCGTCTCTACTAAAATATAAAAAAAATTAGCCAGGTATGGTGGCACATGCCTGTAGTCCCAGCTACTCGGGAGGTTGAGGCAGGGGAATTGATTGAACCCGGGAGACGGAGGTTGCAGTGAGCCGAGATTGCATCATTGCACTCCAGCCTGGGCAACAGAGTGAGACTCCATCTCAAACAAAAACAAAAACAAAACAAAAACAACAAAAAAAATTAGGACCCTTGACAATTCTATTAGTGCCTGACAATTTTATTGGGGGTTAATATTCCAGCATTTTAAATTGCCTCTTTATTCTGAACTCAGACTCACATAAACTTTAGAAAGATCATAGAAACTTTTGATTGAATGGAGGTAAAAGAGTTTCAGACAAAAAGTGCTGGAGGCTGTGATCTGATCAAAAATGTATAAAATGTTGATTCTCAGTATTTTATAGAAAGAAGAATTCAAGGGCTCATCTAATCCAGTTCCTTATTTTACTGATGAAGAAATGTAGGTTCCAAGGTCATATAAATATTGGTGGCAGATAAAGGAAGAATCCAGGGTTAAATCACAGCACTCCTTCCACAGCATCACACACTGCTTTCTACTTTTAAGACTATTTGTTGAGTTACTGAGGTAAAAGTTTGTGATTTTTTGCTTTGTTTTCTTTTACTAATTTGCAAACATTTCTTTGCTGAGTATGTTTTTACTTAATGATGAATGTTTACAGGGCTCTGTGTGTGTAGGGGAATGTGTCTGCATTTTTCAAGGAACGAGTTGTAATTTCTTGTCAGTTAATAGAGGACAAGGAGATCAAGGGACTTGAAACTGAGCTTATATAATTTGTATAATTATTAAAAATCAACTCTGGAATTGGCAGATTATCCAACAAAATATTTCTTTGAATACAATTATTATATTATTATATTATTGAGTCATTATAAAGAATAATGTTCTACCATTCTTTCTTGTTTCCATTAGCACACCTATTTAATTATTGGTGTCTGTATATATATATTAAATTTGGAGTCTAAATTTTGGGTTCAAGACCATGAGCAAGTCATTTAATCTCATGGAACCTTGTTTTGTTTTGTTTTGTTTTCTGTAAACAGGGGATAACATGACTTATCTAATAGCCTTGTGTTGATTTATGGGTTGAGCTGTGATTTCCATAGATTGACTAGACTCGGTCAGGTTAATTTCCTATCTATTTGTAATAAGAAAAAGCTTCTCCTAAAATACTGCTTTGTTAGGTGATAATAGATAATGATTTGTCAAAACTCTAGGTGGTAAATTGAATAAGTTATTAGGAATACAAGAAGCAAGGATTATAGGAATAGTTGTTCTGGATACCAGAGTAGGAAGTGTGTGAAGATAAGATATTTTAGAGATCTGAGTATTTAATAGAGCATTTGGAGAGGTCACAAAGATGAAATTATACTACGCTTGATGATAGTATTATTTATTTATTTATTTATTTTTGAGATGAAGTCTTGCTCTGTCGCCCAGGCTGGAGTATAGTGGCGCTATCCTGGCTCATTGCAACCTCCGCCTCCTAGGTTCAAGTGATTCTTCTGCCTCAGCTTCCCAAGTAGCTGAGACTACAGGCGCCAGCCACTTCGCCCGGCTAATTTTTGTATTTTTAGTAGAAACGGGGTTTCCACCATGTTGGCCAGGCTGTTCTCGAACTCCAGACCTTAGGTGATCCGCCCATCTCTGCCTCCCAAAGTGCTGGGATTACAGGTGTGAGCTACTGTGTCCGGCCTGATAGTATTATTATAATTTGATGAAACGAAGGGTTTCACTATGCATACCCATGTAGAAGGCAGCAAAATCTGTTTTAACATGTGCATCCTTGGATGAATCTGGTTCTTGATGGTCATTCATACTCAGGAAGCTGAAGTAGCCTAGACACTATCATGTTGCAGGGTGGACTGGGGACATAATGGATGAGAAAGTAGAGGGGAAGAACTATGAATACTATTCAGTATTTTTGGAAATAATTCGTTTTTGCATTCTCAGACGTATAATATACATAATTATCAACACTAGTAGTAATGAGAGCACATTCTATTTCTTGAGTACCTGCTCTATGCTAAGGTATACAGCAGGCACTTGTCATAAATTTTCTCTAATCTTTACAACAATCCTGGAAGAAAAGGTATAATTATCCTCATCTTACATATGAAGAAACTAAGATTAAGAAACTTGTGTAAGGTAATACAGTTTAGCAAACTGCACAGACAAGATTCTAGCCGAGATTGTTCTAGTTCCAAAGCCTTGCCACACTGCTTTAAGGACAATTACACGTGGCTGAACACTAAGATGTTCTTAGTGCTATAAAAGTAATATAAAGATGAAGTATTCTTACAGTAAAGTAAAATGTTATGCTTAACATTAAAATAAAATCTGTATAAAACTTCAGATGTGACTAACAACTTAAAAAAACCTCAGGCTATCACTTGCATCACAGAGTGAACAGCATGAACCATTGTTAAAAGATAATTGCTACATAAAAACAGACAAATGAGTCTAAGTAAATCTGGGCAAAGCTGAATAAGATCAGGGATTGTATCAATGTCAATTTCCTGTTTATGATATTGTATTGGATGTTATCATTAGAGTGAATTAGGTGTAGGAGTGCAAAAAGCTTATTGGAAAAATAAATAAATAAATAAATAAAAACAGAGTGAACTAGGTGAAGGGTACATGCAATCTTGTTGTATTATTTCCTACAACTACATATGAATCTACAATTATATAAAAATAACAATTTTCACTAAGAAAAAAGAGCATTGTCTTGTTTTACTTACAGCAAAGTTACTCTGAGCAGCATAGTGCAAAGGTGTGGCTCCTTGGCTGTCAGATGGGATAGTTCCAGACTTATTTCTTTCTAAAAGGAGATGGACAATCTGTGCATGGCCTGAGAAAAGACACAAAAAGGTAATTATCACTTATAAAGGATGTTAATTAATTTATAATCTATTTAAATGAAAAAGATAAGAAAAATCACTAACATAATACAGCATTCACAACGGTTTCTGAACAGCAGCCCCCAATGCAGCCTCTTCTAACTTCTCACTAACATATTAATATGAGGTAGAACAGAATGAAAACTTACTAAAAACTTAATGCTTCAATCAGGTAGGAATGAATTAAGTATAATTGCCAGGCTGAGAAAAAACTATATTAGGTATCACCTCATTGCATTTCCTGGCTTCACTTTATAAAGCTGCCTAAAGCAAAGGAGGGGAAGGTGCTTTAGAGCCAAGCCCTCTTAGCCTTCACTGCTCCTACTCTCAAGGTTCCGTTGCCCAACCAAACAGAACTGCATAACTGTTCTCTTCTATTCAGGTGGACAAACTATAACACAACCTCTTCTATCTCTGAGGCTTCCCATCCCTATATTCTCCTTTCCACAATCTTTTATTATATTTATATTTTATAACATCTAGGCAGTGATTTCAAATCTCAGAAAACAAGTGGGCAGGCATGATAAGGCAGCGATGAAGACAATGTAGTGCATTCTGGAGGATGTGATCTCCACAAGTGAAGAGCTGTAGAAAATATTAAAAAATGAATAAACCTGGTAGTAGCATACGTAGGAAACCTGAAATTTCATACACTCTATTGCTTTCAGATATTGGAGAATGAAGAAGATGCCCCATTAGCAGAGCAAGGATATACTGCATAAAAGCCAAGCAGAGAAAAGTAATTTGAGTGGAAATTGTGTTCATCTATCTGCTCTCCAGAGGTGGTCTAAGATGGAGTTCTCCATAACACAAATGTGGGATTAAAGACAATCTTTGCCACATAGTTACTCTAAACACATATCATTTTGTTTGAGAAATAAAGGGAAAAATTCAGTAAGGACTACAAAAAAACATACTATAGGAAAGTGAAAAAGAAACACTGTCAGGAAGATAAGCAGCATACCTCTGAAAATGATCTAGAGAAGGATCCAGAGGAAAATTTCAGGCAACTGGTATCCTCGACTTAGTGCAAAAAGAGATGGCTTCTATGAAACAGAAACAGGGTATTCTAAGAAGAAAACAGAGTGAAATGAAAAAGTAATGGAAGGAAGTTAAAAGGAAATGAAATGAGATAAAAAGAAATATAGGTAAGACAAGGAAATAAAAATAGAACCCAAAATACAATCTATATAGGAGGCAGAAAGAAAGCAAAACTTATAGAACAAAAAGTCAATTTAGTTACATGGAGACAAATTTGCCAAGTAAGCCCAGAATCCAGAAGAAAAATAAAAAGGGATGTAAGATGAAATCTGAATAATAATTCTAAATCTGGCGATAAAAGTGAGTGCACATATAAACATCATTTAAAAAAAAGATAATGTGTAATTTAAAAACTAAGATCAAGATTATAATAATTAGGGGGAAATCTCAGATTACATTAACAAGTACTAAAAGAGTGATGAGTATCTGTGCTAAATTTTTTGTCTTAAATAGGTGGGAATCAATAGATGCATTTTTGCTCTTGACTCTGATTCAGGCTTTAAAAAGTTTTTGATAAATTTAAAAGTAGCCACTCCTAAACCCTCCTAAAACATTAGGCAATTCAAAATCAAATAACAACATCAAATCTAATCCATATACCAAAGAGCAGAAAGCAAAGGAAACAGGAAACAAAACAAAACAAAACGTTAAGCTGAAAACACTAAGAATAGAAAGATAGCAGGAAAAAAAAAGACCTGATTATTTATCTTATAACAATGACTATTAATGGGTAAAACTCCTTCATTGAAAGAGAAAGACTCTCAGATTGACTCCACACACAAAAAACCCCAACATACACATAAAACATACACATATATACACTCTCTCATCTATAAAAGTGATCTTCAAAAAGGTTAAGTAAAAGGCATTTCAGGAAAATATAAAGAAAAAAACTCAAATATCATAGTATTAGCATAAACATAAAATTAAAGCCCTCCTCCCCAAAAATATAGGCGCTGAATGTGAAAAGAGGTTTATGTTACATTCACATGTTGTCACTAAATGTGAATTACTTTTATAACAAAAATTTAAAGTGAAGATATGATGTTGAAATTAAAACTAATATTTAACATAAAATAAATTTATATTACTATAATTTAGTTTATAAAACAATGCAACATATCAGTTAGAAATCAAAATAATTAACTAGGAGTTGGGAGTAAACAGTGGAAGGGAAGGCACAGAAATATTCCTATACTCATGAAGTTCCTTTTACTGTTGATCCTTTGAGTCACGTACCTAATAAAGCTGCCCAGTGCAGTGGGGTTCGAAATAAGTTATCATAAGACGTTATATTGCAGCTTTCATATGAGGTCAAGACATCAACCACGGTCACATTCCCATCAGCAACTGCAAAGTGAAGAGGAGTTCGACCCTCGTAGTCTTGCCAGTTCAGTAAAGACTCTGTTGGAGCAGCATCCTGATTTGAAGGAACCAGAGACTTCAGACATACATGGAATCCTCAATAAATTACATTTGGTGTAAGTATTTTTTTCTTTCTTTCTTTTTTAGAGACAGGGTCTTGTTCTGTCACCCAGGTTGGAGTACAGTGGCATGATCACAGCTCACTGCAGCCTCAAACTCCTGGGCTCAAGCAATCCTGCCTCAGCTTCCCAAGTAGCTGGGACTACAGGCACATCCCACCACACCTGGCTAATTTTTGTGTTTTTTGTAGAGATGGGGTATTGCCATGTTTCTCAGGCTGGTCTTGAATTCCTAGGCTCAAGCAATTCTCCTACCTCAGCCTCCCAAAATGCTGGGATTATGGTGTGAGTCACTGTGCCCAGCCTGGCACAGGAATTAACTGAGGAATTTTCGAAATAAGACCTCTACATTATCTCTCAGCACAAGTGATAAATCATGGAAAAGGTACAAAGTCTAAATCTTTAAAAAATTATTTTCATATTTAATTATAAAAAGTACAGAAAATAATATAACCATTACATACTGATTATCTAGATTAAAAAGGTGTCAACATTTTGCCTGATATGCTTTTGTTTCTGTTATCATTCAACTAAAGATGTATGTTTTTATACTTTTGTATATATGTATGTATCCATAAACAATATATAAATTTTGTATGTGTGTTTTCAAATGTTTACATTATGGCAACGGACATGTATCCTTTGGCAATTCTTTCTCTCAACACTATACCTTGGATATCTATGTTGGTAATAGTTCAATTATTGAGGTGCTTGAATAAACCACAATATAGTTATCTATTTTCCTACTGAGGAACATTTAGGCTATTCCCATTTTTTTTCACTATTACAGACAATGCTGCAATTAATGTTTCCTTTACATATCCCTTGTAGCACATGTGTGAGATTTTTCCATAGGCTAGACAGCTAGAAGGGGAACTGCTGGGGTGAAGGATATCTTCAAACAGGTATTGTCACATCACTCTCCAAATGGTCTTACCAATTAACACTCCCATGACAATATGTAAAAGTTTTTATTTCCCTACATGCTGGCAGAAATTAATCATTTGGTATTATCAAGCTTACTGCATTTTTCCCTTATGGTTATGAAAGACATTTCACTGCTATTTTAACTTGTAGTTCATTTATGAATGGGGTTGAGATTTTTTAATCATGTGTTTATTAGTGAGTTCACAATGTTAATTAATTTTTCTACTGGATCTTTATAGCAAGCATTATCAAAATTACCAGGCAGATTTGAAAAAGAACCAAATAGAACTTTTAGAAGTGAAAAATGTCATCACAAAGATTAACAGTTCAATGGATAGGGTAAACAACAGGTTGGACTTATTTGAAGAAAAACTTAGTAAACTCGAAGACAGATCTGATGTCATTACCTAGGACGCAACAGAAAGAGACAAGGAGATGAGAATATAAAAGAGAAGTTAAAAGACATGGAGGATTAGATAAAAAGCCTTAAAAGATATATAATTGGAGACCCTAAAGGCAAGAGTAAAGGGAATGAAGGAGAGGTGATATTTAAAGATAACAGCTATATATGTTTGGCAGAACTGAGATGCAATAATCAGAATGTATACCAAACAGGATTTTTTAAAAAGGCCACACCTAGACACACTGTAGTAAAACTGTAGAATGCCAAACAAAGAGCAAAATGTAAAAGCAGCCTGAGAGAAAAGATACATCATGTATAAAGGAATGACAGACCAATAACAGACTCCTTAAGAGCAATAATAAAAGGCAGAAAGTAGCAAAATAATATGCTGAAAGAGCTGAGAAAAATAGATTCCTAGGACTGTGTACACAGGATAATCATTTTTTTTTCAAGAGGCATACATTCTTAACAATTAAAAAGGAGAGTTGGCTGGGGGTGGTGGCTCATGCCTGTAATCCCAGCACTTTGGGAGGCTGACGTAGGTGGATCACTTGAGGCCAAGAGTTCAAAACCAGTCTGGCCAACATGGTGAAACCCCGTCTCTACTAAAAATATAAAAATTAGCTGTGCGTGGTGGCATGTGCCTGTAGTCCCAGCTACTCAGGAGGATGAAGCAGGAGAATCACTTGAACCCAGGATGCAGAGGTTGCAGTGAGCTGAGATCACATCACTGCACTCCAGCCTGGGAGACAGCCCAAGGCTCTGTCCCAAAAAAACTAAAACCAAACAAACAAAAAACCAGAGAGAGTTGACCACCGAAAGATCTATACTAAAGGGAGTCAAGAGGACAACTCAGCAAGATGGCCAAATAGGAACAGCTCTGGTCTGCAGCTCCCAGTGAGACCAATGCAGAAGGTGAGTGATTTCTGCATTTCCAACTGAGGTGCCCAGTTCATCTCATTGGGACTGGTTAGACAGTGGGTGCAGCCCACAGACGGTGAGCAGAAGCAGGGTAGGGCATCGCCTCACCTGGGAAACACAAAGGATCAGGGAACTCCCTCCCCTAGTCAAGGGAAGCCGTGATGCACAGTGCCGGCAGGGACGGTATCTGGCCCAGATACTACACTTTTTTCACGGTTTTTAGAACCTTCAGACTAGGAGATTCCCTAGGGTGCCTACAGCACCAGGGCCCTAGGTTTCAAGCGCAAAACTGGGTGGCCGTTTGGGCAGACACTGAGCTAGCTTCAGGAGTTCTTTTTTGTACCCCAGTGGCACCTGGAACCCCAGGGAAACAAAACCGTTCACTCCACTGGAAAGGGGGCTGAAGCCAGGGAGCCAAGTGGTTTTGCTCAGTGGGTCCCACCTCCCTGGAGCCCAGAAAGCTAAGATCCACTAGCTTGAAATTCTCGCTGCCAGCACAGCAGTCTGAAGTCAACCTGGGATGCCTGAGCGTGGTGGGGGGAGGGGTGTCACCATTACTGAGGCTTGAGTAGGCGGTTTTCCCCTCACAGTGTAAACAAAGCCTCCAAGAAGTTTGAACTGAGCGGAGCCCACCACAGCGCAGCAAAGCCGCTATAGCCAGACTGCCTTTCTAGATTCTTCCTCTCTGGGCAGGGCATCTCTGAAAGAAAGGCAGCAGTTCCTGTCAGGGGCTTATAGATAAAACTCCCATCTCCCTAGGACAGAGCACCTGGGGAAGGAGTGGCTGTGGGCACAGCTTCAGCAGACTTAAATGTTCCTGCCTGCCAGCTCTGAAGAAAGCAGCAGATCTCCCAACAGAGTGCTTGAGCTCTGCTAAGGGAAAGACTGCCTCCCCAAGTGGGTCCCTGACTCCTGTGCCTCCTCACTGGGAGACACCTCCCAGCAGGGGTCGGCAGACACCTCATACAGGAGAGCCCCAGCTGGAATCTAGCAGTTGCCCATCTGGGACAAAGCATCCAGAGGAAAGAACAGGCAGCAATCTTTACTGTTCCGTAGCCTCTGCTGGTGATACCCACGCAAACAGGGTCTGAAGTGGACTTCCAGCAAACTCCAGCAGGCCCCTAGAAGAGAGGCCTGACTATTAGAAGGAAAACTAACAAACAGAAAGCAATAATATCAACATCAACAAAAAGGACACCCACACAAAAATCCCATCCAAAGGTCATCAGCATCAAAGATCAAAGGTAGATAAATCCATGAAGATGAGGGAAAACCTGTGCAAAAATGCTGAAAATTCCAAAAACCAGAATGCCTCTTCTCCTCCAAAAGATCACAAGTCCTTGCCAGCAAGGGAACAAAAATGGACAGAGAATGAGTTTGATGAATTGACAGAAGAAGACTTCAGAAGGTGGGTAATAAAATCCTCCAAGCTAAAGGAGCATGTTATAACCCAATGCAAGGAAGCTAAGAACCTTGATAAAAGATTACAGGAACTGCTAACTAGAATAACCAGTTTATAGAAGAACATAAATGACCTGATGGAGCTAAAAAACACAGCACGAGAACTTCGTGAAGCATACACAAGTATCAACAGCCGGATCGATCAAGTGGAGGAAAGGATATCAGAGACTGAAGATCAACTTAATGAAATAAAGCATGAAGACAAGGTTAGAGAAAAAATAATGAAAAGGAATGAACAAAGCCTCCAAGAAATATGGGACTATTTCCCAAACCTATGCTGGTGTACCTGAAAGTGATGAGGAGAATGGAACCAAGTTGGAAAACACACTTCAGGATATTATCCAGGAGAACTTCCCTAATCTAGCAAGACAGGCCAATATTCAAATTCAGGAAATACAGAGAACACCATTAAGATGCTCCTCAAGAAGAGCAACCCCAAGACACATAATCATCAGATTCACCAAGGTTCAAATGAAGAAAAAAATGTTAAGGGGCGCCAGACAGAAAGATCAGGTTACCCTTAAAGGGAAACCCATCAGACTTAACAGCAGATCTCTCTGCAGAAACCCTACAAGCCAGAAGAGAGTGGGGGCCAATATTCAACATTCTTAAAGAAAAGAATTTTCAACTCAGAATTTCATATCCAGCCAAACTAAGCTTCATAAGTGAAGGAGAAATAAAATCCTTTACAGATAAGCAAATGCTGAGGGATTTTTGTCACCACCAGGCCTGCCTTACAAGAGTTCCTGTAGGAACCACTAAATATGGGAAGGAAAAACTGGTACCAGCCACTGCAAAGAGATACCAATATATAAAGACCAACCATACTATGAAGAAACTATCAACTAGCGTACAAAATAACCAGCTAGCATCATGATAACAGGATCAAATTCACACATAACAATATTAACCATAAATGTAAATGGGCTAAATGCCTCAATTAAAAGACAAAGGCTGGCAAATTGGATAAAGAGTCAAGACCCACCAGCGTGCTGAATTCAAGAGACCCATCTCATGTGCAAAGACACACACAGGCTCAAAATAAACGGATGGAGGAAGATTTACCAAGCAAATGGAAAGAAAAAAAAAAAGCAGGGGTTGCAATCCTAGTCTCTGATAAAACAGACTTTAAACCAACAAAGATCAAAAAAGACAAAGAAGGGAATTCCTTAAAGGTAAAAGGATCAATATAACAAGAAGAGCGAACTATCCTAAATATATATGCACCCAATACAGGAGCACCCAGATTCATAAAGCAAGTTCTTTGAGACCTACAAAGAGACTTACACTCCCACACAATAATAGTGGGATACTTTAACACCCCACTGTCAATATTAGATGGATCAACACAACAGAAAATTAAGAAGGATATTCAGGACTTGAACTCAGCTATGGATCAAGTGGACCTAATAAACATCTACAGAACTCTCCACCCCAAATCAACAGAATATATATTCTTCTCAGTACCACATAGAACTTACTCTAAAATTGACCACGTAATTGGAAGTAAAACCTCCTCAGCAAATGTAAAAGAATGGAAATCATAACAGACAGTCTCTTAGACCACAGTGCAATCAAATTAGAACTCAGGATTAAGAAACTCACTCAAAACCGCACAACTACATGGAAACTGAACAACCTGCTCCTGAATGACTACTGAGCAAATAATGAAATAAAAGCAGAAATAAATAAGTTCTTTGAAACCAATGAGAACAAAGACACAACGTACCAGAATCTGCGGGACACAGCTAAAGCAGTGGTTAGAGGGAAATTTACAGCACTAAATGCCCACAGGACAAAGTAGGAAAGATCTAAAATTGACACCCTAACATCACAATTAAAACAAGTAGAGAATCAAGAGCAAACAAATTAAAAACCTAACAGAAGACAAGAGATAACTAAGATCAGAGCAGTACTGAAGGAGACAGAAACATGAGAAATCCTTCAAAAAAATCAGTGAATCCAGGAGCTGGTTTTTTGAAAAGACTAACAAAATAGACCACTAGCCAGACTAATAAAGAAGAAAACAGAGAATTAAATAGACACAATAAAAAATGATATAGGGGATATCACCACTGACCCCACAGAAATACAAACTACCATCAGAGAATACTATAAACACTTCCATGCAAATAAACTGGAAAATCTACAAGAAATGGATAAATTCCTGGACACATACACCCTCCCAGGACTAAACCAGGAAGAAGTCAAATCCCTGAATAGACCAATAACAAGTTCTGAAATTGAGGCAGTAATTAATAGCCTACCAACCAATAAAAGTCCAGGACCAGATGGATTCACAGCCAAATTCTACCAGAGGTACAAAGAGGAGCTGGTACCATTCCTTCTGAAACTATTCCAAACAATAGAAAAAGAGGGAATCCTCCCTAACTCATTTTATGAGGCCAGCATCATCCTGACACCAAAACCTAGCAGAGACACAAGAAAAATAGAAAATTGCAGGCCAATATCCCTGATGAACATCAATGCGAAAATCCTCAATAAAATACTGGTAAACCGAAACCAGTAGCACATCAAAAAGCTTATCCACCATGATCAAGTCAGCTTCATCCCTGGGATGCAAGGCTGATTCAACATATGCAAATCAATAAATGTAATCCATCACATAAACAGAACCAATGACAAAAACCACATGATTATCTCAATAGATGCAGAAAAGGCCTTTGATAACATTCAACACCGCTTCATGCTAAAACCACTCAATAAATTAGGTATTGATGGAACATATCTAAAAATAATAAGAGCTATTTATGGCAAACCCACAGCCAATATCATAATGAATTGGCAAAACTGGAAGCATTCCCTTTTAAAACTGGCACAAGACAAGGATACCCTCTCTCACCACTCCTATTCAACATAGTATTGGAAGTCTGGCCAGGGCAATCAGGTAAGAGAAAGAAATAAAAGGTATTCAAACAGGAAGAGAGGAAGTCAAATTGTCTCTGTTTGCAGATGACATGATTGTGTATTTAGATAACCCCATCGTCTCAGCCCAGAAACTCCTTAAGCTGATAAGCAGCTTCAGCAAAGTCTCAGGATACAAAATCAATGTGCAAAACTCCCAAGCATTCCTATACACCAAAAACAGAAAAACAAAGAGCAAATCATGAGTGAACTCCCATTCACAATTGCTACAAAGAGAAATAAAATACCTAGGAATACAACTTACAAGGGATGTGAAGGACTTCTTCACATTGTAGTTCCCTGAAGGAGAACTATAAACCACTGTTCAAGGACATAAGAGAGGACACAAACAAATGGAAAAACATTCCACACTCATGGACAGGGAGAATCAATATCATGAAAATGGCCATACTGCCCAAAGTAATATATAAATTCAATGCTATTTCCATCAAGCTACCATTGACTTTCTTCACATAATTAGAAAAAAACTACTTTAAATTTCCTATGGAACAAAAAAAGAGCCTGTATAGCCAAGACAATCCTAAGCAAAAAGAAGAAAGCTGGAGGTATCAAGCTACCTGACTTCAAACTATAATACAAGGCTACAGTAAACAAAACAGCATGGTACTTGTACCAAAACAGATATATAGACCAATGGAACAGAACAGAGGCCTCAGAAATAATGTCACACATCTACAATCATCTGATCTATGACAAAGCTGACAAAAACAAGCAATGGGGAAAGGATTCCCTATTTCCTAAATGTTGTTTGGAAAACTGGCTGGCCATATGCAGAAAGCTGAAACTGGACCCCTTCCTTACACCTTATACAAAAAATTAACTCAAGATGGATTAAAGACTTAAACGTAAGACCTAAAATCATAAAAATGCTAGAAGAAAACCTAGGCGATACCATTCAGGACATAGGCATGGGCAAAGACTTCATGACTAAAACACCAAAAGCAATGGCAACAAAAGCCAAAATGGACAAATGGGATCTAATGAAACTAAAGAGCTTTGGCACAGCAAAAGAAACTATCATCAGCGTGAACAGGCAACCTACAGAATGGGAGAAAATATTTTGCAATCTATCCATCTGACAAAGGGCTAATATCCAGAATCTACAAGGAACTTAAACAAATTTAAAAGAAAAAAAAAACTCATTAAAAAGTGGGCAAAGGATACGAACAGACACTTCTCAAAAGAAGACATTTATGTGGCCAAAAAACATATGAAAAAAAGCTCATCATCACTGGTCATTAGAGAAATGAAAATCAAAACCACAATGAGATACCACCATCTCATGCCAGTTAGAATGGTGATCATTAAAAAGTCAGGAAACAACAGATGCTGGAGAAGATGTGGAGAAATAGGAATGCTTTTACACTGTTGGTGGAGTGTAAATTAGTACAACCATTGTGGAAGACAGTGCGGTGACTCCTCAAGGATCTAGAACCAGAAATACCATTTGACCCAGGAATCCTCTTACTGGGTATATATCCAGAGGATTATAAATCATTCTACTATAAAGACACATGCACACATATGTTTATTGCAGTATTATTTACAATAGCAAAGTCATGGAACCAACCCAAATGCCCATCAATGATAGACTGGATAAAGAAAATGTGGCACATATACACCATGGAATACTATGCAGCCATAAAAAAGAATGAGTTCATGTTCTTTGCAGGGAGATGGTTGAAGCTGGAAACCATCATTCTCCGAAAATTAACACAAGAACAGAAAACCAAACACCACATGTTCTCATAAGTGGGAGTTGAACAATGAGAACACATGGACACAGGGAGGGGAACATCACACAGTGGGGCCTGTTGGGGGGTGGGGGGCAAGGGGAGGGATAGCATTAGGAGAAATACCTAATGTAGATGACAGGTTGATGGGTGCAGCAAACCACCATGGCACATGTATACCTATGTAACAAACCTGAACGTTTTGCACCTGTATCCCAGAACTTACAGTATAATAATAAAAAAAATCTAAGAACTATATTTCAGGATGTAAAATAATAACTTTAGAAGGAAAATTTGAGATACAAAAAAAATGCAGAGCTAAGCATTGCATATACAAAATAATACTTTTAGTATCAGAGGTTGTAAAAAACGATTAAAAAATAATACTTTAAAGTCTAATTTGTGTGTTAAAAACAAATATGACTAACTATTGGACTATCATAGCATGTAAATTAGAAGCTGGGACAGAGGGATTAGAAAACCTCAAAGAATCTACTGATAAATATTCGAAACAAATAAGGAGTTTAGCGAATTAGTTAGATATGTAATCAATGATCAAAAATATCAACTGCATTCCTATACACCTATAACAACCAGTTAAATATATATCCTAGATATGTTCAAAAATGTCAATGCAGCACTGTTTGTAAATAACAAAAAACTGGAAACAAAGTATCTGTCAATAACAGAATGAATACTGTGTGGCTTATTCGTAAGATGGAATCCTATATAGCAGTAAGAATTAATATATCATGGCTACATGCAGCAACATAGATAAAATCACCAGTGGTCGGACACGTTGGCTCACGCCTGTAATCCCAGCACTTTGGGAGGCTGAGGCAGGTAGATCACGAGGTCAAGAGGTCGAGACCATCCTTGCCAACATGGTGAAACCCGGTCTCTACTAAAAATACGGAAATTAGCCAGGCACGGTGGCGCACGCCTGCAGTCCCAGCTACCCGGGACGCTGAGGCAGGAGAATTGCTTAAACCTGGGAGGTGGAGGCTGCAGTAAGCCGAGATCATGCCACTGTACTACAGCCTGGGTGACAGAGCAAGACTCTGTCTCAAAATAAAATAAAATAAAATAAACAGCATAAGGTTGAGCGAGAAAGAATAGGGCACTGCAAAAAAACAAAACAAAACAAAAACAAAAACATGCAATATAATTCCTTGTATATCAAATTCAAAACCTTTAAATACTGAGCAATATATTGTTTAAGGATACAAATAAATGTGGTAATGGAAATCAGGGGAATGATAACACAAGATTGAAGACAGTTGTTGCCTCTGTGAAAGGAGAGAATAGAATGAGACTGAGAGGTACTCCACTCAGAGGACTTCAAAGGTAATGGTAATATACTTTTTCTTAAACTTGATATTGAGTATATGAGTATTTGTTGTTTCATTATTATTTATACTTTACATGTATTTTACTGATACTTATATCTATTCACTGTTTAATAAAAACAAGTATGAAACAAAGTAAGGAAATAAATATAAATTCAGGATTCAGGGAAGTAGTTGCTGGGGTACAGGAATGAGCACGGCGTAGGGGGAATGAATGCGTTTAAAAACTGGGACATAGGAAACCTCTATGTGGTCTTAAATAGTGGTACTGAAATGTTCTACTTCTTGGGGGATGAGTCCATATGTCTGTTGTATTCTTTTGCTTAATAATTTGCTTGTACGTCAAATATACACTTTTGTATATATTAAATAATTCATAATAAAAAAATTTCAAGGCCATTCAGGTCTAGCAGTACCATTCAACTCACCAGAATGCATCTCACTGTGTGAACAGCACTTGGATCTTTATGGTTGGCTGCCCAGTGAAGTGGGATCTTGCCTTCAACATCAGGAATCCCAATGTTAGAATCATGCTTGATGAGCAGCTTCACATGCTCAGGGTTATTGTAGTAGGCACTCCAATGCAGAGCTGTTTGCTGCAAAATCGAGAGGTTCTCGAAATAACAACAGTAACAACTAACTTTCCCCAATCTTTTATTGTGGGACAGGCACTGTTATAAGAGTTTTATACAGTAGTTGCCCTGTATCTTTGTTTTCACTTTTCATGATTTCAGGTCTCTGTGTTCAACCGAAGTCTAAATATATTAAATAGAACATTCCAGAAATAAACAATTCATAAGTTTTAAATTGTGTGCCATTCTAAATAACATGTTGAAATAGTGCTTCATCCCACCCCATCCTACCTGGGACACAAATCCTTCCTTTGTTCAGCATATCCCCACCGTAGACATTCCCTGCCAGTTAGTCACCTAGCAGCCAACTCAGTTATCCCATTCATTGTCACAATATTAGATTCACAGTGCTTGTGTTCAAGTCATCCTTCTTTTACTTAATGGCCCCAAAGCTCAAAATTATTGATACTGGTGATTCAGATATGCCAAAGAGCAGCTATGAAGTGTTTCCTTTAAGTGAAAAGGTGAAAGCTCTCAACTTAATAAGAAAAAATTGTTTGTTGAGTTTGCTAAGCTCTACCGTAAGAACAAATCTATCTGTGAAACTGTAAAGAAGGAAGAAGAAACTCATGCTGGTTTTGCTGTTGCATACCAAACTGCAAAAATTATGGCCATAGTGCCTGATAAGTGCTTAGTTAAGACGGAAAAAGTACTAAATTTGTGGGTAGAAGATATGAACAGAAATGTGTTCCTATTGACGGGAATTGGGTTTGACACTATCCGCAGTTTCAAGTGTCCATTGGAGGTGTTGGAATATATTTCCTTTGAACAAGGGAGACTATTGTCTATTTAATTGCATGCAGTCATCTTACTATCTCTGGGAGACAAGTATGTTTTTAAATTTGCATGTGATTGATGAGGAAACAGCACACGGAACCTAAGTAATCTGCTCTGGGACACAAAGGAAGTAAGTGGCTGAACTGAGATTTTAACCCAGGCAGTCTGACTCCAGAATCTGACCTCTTAGGCATGACAGTTATTTAGTTCATCCGGTACTGATAACACTGAGAAAGAGAAAGCGGCCCAGTCATTTATAAATAATCATCAACAAAGTAAGTGATGATCTTGATAATGCACATCTGGTTATCACCAAGGACCTTAAGAACTTGACAGGATGTTTCGAATTTTAATATCTATAAAAAAATACATGCATAGGAAATTCATGCATCTGGAACCCATTCCATGTATCAGTAGACAAATTTTAATTTAAATATAATTTTAGAGGATAAATTATTAGACCCAGTTATTGATGAAAAGATACATTTTGAAAATACAGCAGCACTTGCTTTAGTCAACCTAAATAACAGAGTCTCTCTAAAAGAAAATAATGTTTGGCTGGGCGCAGTGGCTCATGCCTGTAATCCCGGCACTTTGGGAGATCGAGGCGGGTGGATCACTTGAGGTCAGGAGTTCGAGACCAGCCTGGTCAACATGGTGAAACCCCGTCTCTACTAAAAATACAAAAATTAGTTGGGCCTGGTGGCGCATGCCTGTAATCCCAGCTACTTGGGAGGCTGAAGCATGAGAATCGCTTGAACCTGGGAGGTGGAGGTTTCAGTGAGCCAAGATCACACCACTGCACGCCAGCCTGGGTGATAGAGTGAGACTCTGTCTCAAAAAAAAAAAAAAAAAGAAAGAAAGAAAATAATGTTTATTTGGTATCTGGTAGTAGGGCATTGCTAAACTATGTGTACTCAAGTAAAGGAAGACAAAAGTTTTTAAAAGAAAAATGAGCAGGATTACGTAATTGTTTTCAAATGATGATCCTTGGCTACAAAGATCGATAACAAAGATAATGCCAGTGCAAGGTTGGACAGGCAGTTGCTGGGCAAATGTCTTTGAAGAAGTAATTTTTGTGTAAGGTTATGATGGCCTTTGTGCAAGGCTGTGGTTTTTGCACAGTCTGTGATTTTTTTTTTTTTTAATCAGGCTTACAAGCACAAGAATCCTCTCTTCATGGCCTTCCCTGGCTCTGTCAGGTTTTGTTGTTGTTGTTTTAAACAGAAACAACTCCATTTTGATTTTGACAATGTTCACACTTTATTTCAGATAAAAGTTGAAAATGATCATCTTGAACTTGTTGAAGTTGCTTTAAAATCTCTTCTGCTGTTCTCGTCAACATAATTCTATAAGACTGGCTTCCCTATTAGGATAATTATTAAGAAAAAATGTAAGAACTGTTTAAATATATATTAGCCCTCGTGAGTAGCATTGTCAGCAATCCAATCTACAATTAGATAATTTAATGAGCAGGAACCAAGCTCATCTGTCACATTAAAAACTTTAGAAACTGACATACATGGTATTCCTTCAAGGTGTACCTATAGGCATTTAATATGAACACTCACTATTTAACTTACTACTTTTGCTTACTAACAACTGCAGATTTTTAAAAAGCCACAAGTATAATAGCACTTACTAATTACCTATAACCACATCTTCAATAAACAACACGTAATTCCTTTCTTTTCCTATGTTATACTTGTTCTGATTCTATTTACTGAAATGTAATACTATGCTGAACCTAACAGTAATCCTATTAACCTTTTTCCATACATACAAAAATTGAGGCACAGAGGAGTTAAGCAATTTGCTCAAGGACACAGAACAAGTTAAGTAGTGGATTCTGGGTTGAAACCCAGGAAGGCTGATACCAAAGCGTAGGCCACTAAACCACTAAGCATTTAGGACATTGCCATGGGCATTTGGCCATCATGAGTCTAACCACCTATAGTAACTATTATGACTCCCTGTCAAATATTGGGTTTTGGAGTTAAGACAGGACTGATTTTTTTTTTTTTTTTTTTTTTTTTGAGACAGTCTCACTCTGTCACCCAGGCTGGAGTTCAGTGGCACTATCTGGGCTCACTGAAACCTCTGCCTCCCAGTTTCAAGCGATTCTCATGCCTCAGCTTCCCGAGTAGCTGGGATTACAAGCGCATGCCAACATGCCCGGCTAATTTTTGTAGTTTTAGTAGAGATGAGGTTTCACTATGTTGGCCAGGCCAGTCTTGAACCCCTGAACTCAGCTGATCCACTTGCCTCGGCCTCCCAAAGTGCTGGGATTACAGGCATGAGCCAATGCGCCCGGCCGACAGGACTAGATTTGAATTCTAGTTCTGCCACTTGCATCTTGGGCAAACTTTTAATCTTCCTGAGCTTCAGTTTTTCCATCTGTAAAAAGATGATACTACCTAACACACATGGTTGCTGAGAGGATAAAATGACAGAATTTAAGTGAAATACTTCCCTGAGATGTATGGAGATTTGGAATTGTTCTACCATGTATATATGTGGTAATTCAGGCCTTCTTCCTTGAAATTTCACATCATAAAAGGAAGCATTTGCTTTCTGGTCTTATTAGTCTTTGATTTTGAGTATCCATTACCTTGTTTTTATCCTGTGTATCCACTTCTCCTGGTGCCATAAACTTCAGCAGAAGTGCCAAACACTTAGGGCTCCTGTGCCGGGTGGTCAAGTGCAAAGGAGTCATCTCTTCCAGATCCTTTTGCATCCAGTTTGCTCTGCGTGTAAGTAAGAGTTTCATGAAACGATAATTTCCCTAAATAAAAAACAAGAGATGATAAGAAAAAAATGTACTATGGGGTCAAAATTTTTTTTAATTTTAAAATGTTTTAAGTATGTTAATTATTCTCCTAGAGTAATAACATCCAGAGAAATTAATAAGGAAAAATGCTTGTAATTCCACTATACTATCAATTGTTTTATTTTTTCATGTTTCCTTCCAAGAACTTTCTACATGAATATAATTTACATAGTGGCTGGCCAATATTTTATTGCAAATAAAACAACATGTTTTATTTAACCAGTCTATTATTGTTAGATATCTAGAATGTTTCTAATATTTTTTTTGTAGTAAATGCTTCACTGTACATCTTTTTTCACATTTTTTTTCTTAATTTTTTCACAAGAATAAATTATCAGGAACCAAATTGTTGGGTCAAAGACGTTTGCACATTTTACAGTGTTTGGTGTATTTTCCAAATTGCTATCTAACAGCAGCAATGTGTAGGTGTATTAGTTTCAGCACATTTTGACCAACATAGTACCTATTATTTATACTCAAAGTGTAATAATGCGAAATAAGCAGAGATGTTAAATCCCAATTTACAGGTGAGGAAACTGAGATTCAAAGTAGTTAAACGTTTTGTTCAGGACCTCTGGTTAATAAGGTATGGATGATTAGTTTTCTTAAAGAAAGCTATTTATGGGTACAACTAAGGTAGAGGCAGCTTATTCAAAGTTTGGATCCCAGGGCCGGGCGTGGTGGCTCACATCTGCAACCCCAGCACTTTGGGAGGCCGAGGCGGGTGGATCACGAGGTCAGGAGATTGAGACCATCCTGGCCAGCACGGTGAAACCCCATCTCTACGAAAAATTAGCCGGGCGTGGTGGTGGGCGCCTGTAGTCCCATTTACTCGGGAGGCTGAGGCAGCAGAATGGCGTGAACCTGGGAGGCGGAGCTTGCAGTGAGCCGAGATCGTGCCACTGCACTCCAGGCTGGGCGACAGAGTGAGACTCCGTCTCAAAAAAAAAAAAACAAAAAAACCAAGTTTGGATCCCAGACTCAAACGGTCACCTAAATGCCAACTCAGAAGTCATGGTAGGCCCACCCACTTGCAGGCAGTACTCTCCAAGTCAGTTAAATCCTCCAGTCTGGTAGAATCAACCCACCTCAAGAAAGAAGCAGGCCGGGTGCGGTGGCTCATGCCTGTAATCCCAGCACTTTGGGAGGCTGAGGTGGGGGGATCACGAGGTCAGGAGTTCTAGACCAGCCTGGCCAACATGGTGAAACCCCGTCTCTACTAAAAATACAAAAATTAGCCAGGCGTGGTGGCAGGCGCCTGTAATCCCAGTTACTCGGGAGGCTGAGGCAGAGACTTGCTTGAACCCGGGAGGCAGAGGTTGCAGTGAGCAGAGATCGCACCACTGCACTCTAACCTGGGTGACAGAGCCGGACTCCATTTCAAAAAAAAAAAGAGAAAGAAGCTTAGTTACAAGGGCCACAGCAAGAGTGTTAATGAGCCAGGCCAACCATTACATAGTAAGTCTGTGTAACATGGCAGCTTTGAACAAAATAAGACTCTAAAAATTGTTCTTCTGGGCTCTTTTCTCAGATCTATTTCCTCATTTTTACTTCCAGTTGGAGGTTTCTATGTGCTTGGTACCTCAGATATTTCAAGGTCAGTGTGACCAAACAGTATTGCCTGATCAGGTTCTCAGCCTACTTCGTGCCTATTTATCTCTCCCTATTCAGAGGATAATGGCAGGCAGGATTATTTGTCCATTTGTCATCCTTAACCTTGTTAGAAGTGGGCCCTTTTAGCATGATAATGCATTGATGTTCTCCTATGAGGGACTATCAATATTAGTAAGGAATACATTTTTTAATCAAGCAGACCACCTACTGTGAAGAATGTGCAGCTCTACAGCAAGCTTGTCCACACCGCGGCACCTGGCTTGCACGTGGCCCAGGATGGCTTTGAATGTGGCCCAACAAAATTCTTAAACTTTCTTAAAACATTATGAGATTTTTTTGCGTGTTTTTTTTTGTTTTGTTTTTTTTGCTCATCAGTTATTGTTAGTGCTATTTTATGTATGGCCGAAGACAATTCTTCTTCTTCCAGTGTGGCCCAGGGAAGCCAAAAGATTGGACATCCCTGCTGTAAGGCAAGGTTACTAGAGTGACAGTGAGGTGCAGAAGGACGAATGAGAACTAACTGCTTGCCCACAGGGGCAGAGATAGGATTGACTCAGTCCACCACAGGGGCAGAGATAAGAGAAGATAAGAAAGACCATGGCTAGGAAAGAGGATCTGTAGACTGTCTATATTAGATGGGAAGACTTGGAATAGGTGGAAAAGCCAACGGACTCTGCTGGATATTTCCTCTCAGAGAGGTTTCCCTTGATGACCCTAAATAGAACTTACTTGTTATTCTTTATTCTAGTACCTATTCATTTCTCTCATAGTACTTTTCTCAGTTTGCAATTACATATATATTTGTTTGTTTCTCTTCAGTGTGAGCTCCCTCACAAACTGTAAGCTCCATGAAAGCAGAGACCATGTTTTATTGATCCCTGTGCTCAGCATAGTTCCTGGCACAGAATAGGTGCCTAATAAATATTACTTGAAGAAATGAGTAAATAAGAAGAAATGAAATATCTTCTAGAGGTTTTTGTTTTCATTTAAAAATTCTTATTTACAAGCCTGGGAGTGGTGGCTCATGCCTGTAATTCTAGCACTTTGGGTGGCCGAGATGGGCAGATCACTTGAGGTCAGGAGTTCGAGACCAGGCTGGCCAATATAGTGAAACTTTGTGTCTACTAAAAATACAAAAAAAATCAGCCGGGCATGGTGGTGCAAGCTGTGGTTCCAGCTACTCGGGAGGGTGAGGCATGAAAATCCTTGAACCCAGGAAGCGGAGGCTCCAGTAAGCTGAGATTGCACCACTGCACTCCAGCCTGGGTGACACAGTGAGACTCTGTCTCAAAAAAAAAAATTAAAAATAAATAAATAAATAAATGATAAAAATTCTTATTTACAGTTGCTATATTAGATCATAACAGTTAAGAATCTTAATTCTCAAATACCTGGTATTTGGTTATTCTTACTTTTTAATGTTTCATTTTTCTGAGCTTCATTAATAGTGTACATCATTTATCTGGACTTGTCATTTCATTTGATGTCAGTTCTTGAGAAGGAAGATGCTAAAATTTCCTCAAGAGGGCACCCTGCTCTAAATTTCTTGCCATCTTTTCTTTGGGGAAAAAAAAAAAAAAAAAGTTTGCCCAGGAAAAACAAATCTGTGTGACACTTCATACCGAAAAATAAAGTTTGACCTTTCTGAACATAACACTTCAAATATTACAGAGTAATTCATCATGACCTTTAAAGATATTCAATCAGACAGTCATTTCGATTGGAAATTAGAGGAAAAGGGAAGGAGAAGAAGGAAACTAGTATATGTTGGTGGGGGTAACTACTGAGCTATAGACACAGTGCTTGGCATATTTACACTTTACATTATTCTGAGGACTCTACCCTCACAAGACACAGTGCAACTCAGTAATGATATTTACTCATTCATTCATTCAACAAATATTCATTGAGCCTTGTTATGAAGCAGATAACAGTACAATGCTCGTACTTTGTTTTACGTATTACAAAGCTCTTTGACATAATTTCATCTTTGTTTCTCACAGAAGTATCATCAAACATTTTCACAGATTAAATAAATTATCCTCCTGTGCCTCTATTTTCTCATATATAAAACAGGGGTAATAATGGTACCTGAAGTTATTATGCATATGAAATGAGACAAATGATATTTGTAAAAGTTCTTAGAACAGTGAACAAAGCAAATGCTCAGTAGATGTTTTTATTATTATAAATAGTTTTCCAGTGTGTAGTATTCAACAAAACATAGATGGTCAGATAGAACCAAGAATGGCCCAAGATAAAGGGCATGCAGACAGAAAGATCTGATTGTAATATACACAGTTCAGCTAGTGATTAAGAACCAAGATTAGGAAAAGGTAAAAGTAAAAATAGTTAGAATGTTATAAATAGAGTAGTCCCCCTTTATCTCCTGGGGATACATTCCAAGATCCCCAGTGAATATCTGAAACTGCAGATAGCACCAAACCCTCTATATATACTATTTTTTTCATATACACACATATCTATGGTAAAGTTTAATTTATAAATTAGGCACAGTAAAAGATTAACAATAACTAATAATAAAATAGAACAATTATAATAATATAGTGTATGAAAAGTTATGTGAATGTGGTCTCTCTCTCTCAAAATACCTTAGTATTTTTAGATCATGGTTGACCACAGTAAATGAAATCACAGAAAGCAAAACCGTGGATAATGGGGAATTACAGTAGTGGTTTGTCTGATTTTTTTTTTTCACTGAGAAAGATGTCTATATTCTGCCTACAGATAATGATGATATAGGACCAACAAAGGCATAGACAATAGGAATTTAGCAGGTACCTTGGGGAGGAGGCCAGCATCTCCTATTTCAAATGACAGAGACCCATCAGATATTATCTATGAAGGCTGGACTAGAAACAATATAATTTACTTGGACCAAGGCCAACCTGTTTGTTCTCCTAAACAAGCAACTGGCTGGGCACAGTGGCTCACACCTGTAATCCTAGCACTCTGGGAGGCCGGAGTGGGAAGATCACTTCAGCCCAGGAGGTCAAAACTGCAGTAAGCCATGATTGTGCCCCTGCACCCCGGCCTGGGTATCAGAGAAGACCCTGTCTCAAAAAAAAAAAAAAAATTGTCCTGTATGCAAATTCAATCTTTGGGAATGAGCAGAAGGGACAGAGAACTTTAAGTGCTAAAATCAGGAGAATATTTCTAGTATCAATGGAACAGAGGAAGATACTAGTTTGAGGCAGTAAGCTAATTTGACAACCCTCTGAAGGTTGTGTGACCCTTTGGACCCATGTTATAGGCTACTTTGCTTCCTGTAAAACCTTCTCATTACAGAAAGTCTAAATACTTCCTCGGTATTTCTTGAACTGAGGAGTTCTTATGTTTTTGAGAATATTCTTATAATGCAAATACTTTTTGGAGGATTTGGAAGTTAATCTATTTTTTTTTTTTTTGGGACAGAGTCTTGCTCTGTTGCCCAGCTAGAGTGCAGTAGCACAATCTCAGCTCACTGCAACCTCTGCCTTCAGGGTTCAAGCAATTCTCCTGCCCTAGCTTCCTGAATAGCTGAGATTACAGGTGCCTGCCACCAAGCCTGGTAAATCAGGTTTCACCATGTTGGCCAGGCTGGTCTCAAACTCCTGACCTCAGGTGATCCGCCTGCCTCAGCCTCCCAAAGTGCTGGGATTACAGGCGTGAGCCACTGTGCCTGGCCTGGAAGTTAATCATTTAGTATAACCTGTTAGAGCTATACAGAAACTGATCCTGTTTGGAGGACGGTTTGTTTTAGGGTCTGCTTTTATAATTTTGGAGTGGGTAGGAAATAGTATAAGAGCGAAGGAGATAATAGATCAAAAGAGGATATATACTTAAGAAAACTCTGATGGTAGGTAAGCAGAAGTAAGGGAGCTGAAGTTACAGGAAGGTCTTGATTTAGTCATTTAAAAGGACATTACTCTGCTATGATCAGGTCCATCATGCTTCTGAAATGTGAAAACATTTCCCAATATCTCTGAAACAGTGAATAAATTTTTTTTCGTTTTTCATTAGGTGGTCATAATTTTCCTCTAAATCTTCCTGTAATTAACACCAAGAGCTTCTTTCATCTGTCACATAAAGATTATGACACTTAGATTTTCTCCAAATGTATGAAAAGGGTGAAAGAGAATTAAAAGTTCTCTGACCCAGAGAACAGCACTTGAAAGGAATCTGGGAAACAAATTAGGTCAAAATGTGATTTTTAACTTTATATTTGTGTCTGTCCAGTTCTCTTAAGATGAACTCCTTTTTTTAAAAAAAAAGCACATAGCTATTTAATGGTAATAACAATGATATGGAGATTTTGAGAAAAATACTTTGATATTTTGCTTTGGATTTTTCATTTTTTAAGTAATAAAACCTAACAGATAAAGTTAATACTTCCTTTGTGTCCCCAATTCCATTACCTTCTCTCCCTCTTTGGAGACTACTATCCTGAATTGGGTGTTTATCATTCCAATGAATGTTTTTATGCTTCTATTTCATACAAACATATATATATATATATATCCATAAACGACATAGTATTGTTTTACATGTTTTCAATCTTTGTACAAATGGTCTTGCATGAATCGTGTCATTTTTTACTCAAAGCAGTATTTTTCAGATTTATTCAAGTTGCCTGGGTTCATACATTTTCACTGGAATAAGTATGCTGTCATATGAAAATAATATATTTATTCTTCTCTAGAGGGATATTTAGCATGTTTCTCATTTTTCAAGATTACCCAATATTGTAATGAATATTCTCATACATATCTCCTGGTAAGTACATAAGAATTTCTGAAACTTCTGGTTTGAGATTGCTCTCTAAAATAGCTACTCCAAGTTAACATTCATAACAGTAATGTATGAGTTCCTGTTTCTCCACATCCTCACCACACTGGGTTTTGTCTGACTTGCTAATTTTTGCCAATCTGACGGTTACAGTTTTTTGTTTTGTTTTTTAATAGAAGGGGTCTTGCTATAGCTTGCCCAGGCTGGACTCAACTCCTGGGCTCAAGTGATCCTACCACCTCAGCCTCTCAAGTAGTTGGGGCTACAGGCGTGCACCACTGTGCCTGGCCTACAGCTGTGTTTTAATGTGCATTTCCCGAATTGAGGTGGAATGTTTTTATATGTTTGCTGGATATTTGTTTCTTTTGTAAATAGCCTTCTTGTGTTGTAACTCATTTCTGAACTTGGCTATTTGTTTTTTTTTCTTACTGATCTATAGGAGTTCTTTATGTATTCTGGATACTAATTCTTGGTTGGTTTTGCAAATATCTTCTCTGTGTGGCTTATTTTTTTGCTTTATTTATGCTCTCCCACTAGGAATGAATTCGTAATCTGAATAATATTGTTTGCTTTGTTAGCATTAGATTTCTTCAAATATTTTGAAATTTCTGTCTGCAGGTTCATTTTTGTTTTTCATTTGTTTGCTTTGTTTTCCTTTTTTCTCCTTGTTGACCCATAGAGCATCTTCCACCCAGCTCCTAGTCCATTATAACAATCTGCTCCTACACAGATCTCCTGGAGCCCTGTCTTCAGTGATATTAGGGATGTCACAATTATTAACAGTGAGCTAGTGAGTAGCTTCCTGACCTGAGGCTTGGATGGTGTCCTGCTTCTGCCATTTCTCTAGATAAACAGCTTCCTATAAAGCTGTAGCCTCATAGTGAGGCAAAGAATATTCCAAAATTCTAAGAATTTTCTTGCCTTTTGCACAAATATGACCACCTTTCAATCAGTGAAAAGGAAGGAGGCATCTTCCTGAACCCTATTCTGAAATCATATTCTACAGGACTGCTGTTTGTTCCCAGTAAGTGCCTTTATGATTAACTTATAGATAATTGGCAGCTGATCCTCAAAATATTCTGGATCCTACCTCTACATTTTTTCCCCAAAATGGCTACCATATTTTCTATATCTGTCTCCCTGGGGCCTTTGCTATTTGCTTCCTCTTCAGCTGAGACGATTACTTTAACAGACTTCAATGCCCAAGACTTGACTAAAACTGCCTACGGTGGCCCTTCTCCCCACTGGAGTACTGAAGAGGCCAGATGTTTTCCCAAAACCAATACTTTGGGACCTACATGTTTTCCAATTAATTTCTTTGCATTCTTGTTCTGTGTCCCCAGTGCTTATATTTTCTGTCACTGTACTTGGAGAGAAAAACAATTGCTCACTATATATATATAAATGTTCACTATATTTTTTTGTTCATTTACAAATTGGTATAAAATTTTGGCCTAGAAAGATAACTATATTTATAATAGCACACACAAATGTAAAGTAGGTACTCTGTCATAGTTCATTTTAAATCCTAAATATATTATATACCCAAAATACATTACTTAAAATTGAAATGGAAAAATAGAAACATGATTTATTAATTATAATTATAGCTATATAATTATGTATTTATAAACTCTCAAGGCATTTACTGTATTAATTTGTAAAAAGAATTACTATCCCTAGGAAGTATATAGGTCGCAAATATCAGTAATTTCATTATATCAAACTTTTCTGTAGTGGTTGCAGACACAAATGAGTTTTGGAAATACCACAATAGTGTTGGGAGAGGCAATCTGCCCTGGGCCTTGAATGTCCCTGAATGTACTTACTGGGTATGCCAAGAATGCAAAAGCTTGACTCCACTTTACTGGGACCATTTTCCAGAGTGGGGTTTGCAGTGAGCAATCTTGAGTGACGAGGTAATGTCACCCACCAGGGCAAAGAACAAGCAGGCTTGCTTACTACTCTATTTACTAAAAGCTGGAGATTCCCAAAATCTAGCACTCTTCAGATGTCATGCAAACCCACTGTGTGCTGGGCCCATCTGAGTCCTCCATATTGCCCCCATAATCCTTGGAGGGGAGGGAAACTCATGCAAACAGATAAGTACTCCTAGCTCCTAGCTATGCCATTAGTAATGACGCTTTTCGTCTCTGATGGGAGTCTTGTGTCTTCTGCCAGCATCTGCAGCTAACTTATTACCTTGTAAATAGGGTTAATTAAATGCCAGAACTGACAAGACAGTAAAAGATGATAGGATACTGACAGAGACATAGTTTTCCTTTCTTTCTTCCTTTTATTTTTTTGAGACAGAGTCTCACTCTGTCGCCCAGGCTGGAGTGCAGTGGCGCGATCTTGGCTCACTGCAACCTCTGCCTCCCGGGTTCAAGCAATTCTTGTGCCTCAGCCTCCCAAGTAGCTGGGATTATAGGTGTGTGCCCCCATGCCTGGCTAATTTTTATATTTTTGGTAGAGACGGGGTTTCACCATGTTGGCCAGGCTGGTCACAAACTCCTGACCTCAAGTGATCTACTCACCTCGGCCTCTCAACGTTCTGGGATTACAGGCATGAGCCACTGCACCCAGCTGGAGAGACATAGTTTTCTTGAAGAGTAAGGACAAGAACCCTAGAGGCCCATTCTCAGGTATCCTTAGGTTCAAGGGTGAGAAGACCCCCTGAGATCATGCCCAGGTGGTGGGCAAGGTTAAGGGGCGAGTGACCCCAGTATTCTCTCTGTTAATGAGTCTGAATGGTGAGAGGTGGGATTAAAGCAAGCCACCCAAATAGTGCCTTTGTTTTTGCTCACCTTCCTCTGGGCAGGCAAAAGAAGGAATGGTACATGACCACGGGGGCAGCAAGCTGAAAGACCATGTGGTTGCGGCTGCAGGGCCAAGAAATCTCCAAAACAGAAATAAATGGAGAGAACAATGAAGATTTTGCTATTTGACATGGATCTTTAGGTGGATTGAAAACATTAGAAGTTCATTTGGTTGAGACATGAGTGAGCAGGTGCTCAAAAGTGAATGTGAATGCAAAACCTTGCCTAATAGGACAGAGTCAACTGTTCTATGTATCTGATTCCTGCTTTAGCCTGACTTATTTGACATTGAGGACAAAGCACTGGGTATACAGGTGGCCACTGTCTGAAGCAAAGCTGCTGGCTTAATGGTCCCTTAAATGCCTTGGCCTGGTTTGCTGATGCTTTGGCTAAGTTAAAACCCGATGGTGTCCAGTAGGGGGCAGTAGCTGTCCAACCTCAATGACAGCTCCAGGAGACTGAGTGGTAATGACCAGTTAGCCCAATGGGCTGAAATGAAAAGCCATCACCCTTACCTTAGGCAATACTCCCAAAGACTAGCCGTATTTTTACTGATTCTTGGTCTGCTAACAGTACTGTAGTCACCTGGTCTGCCACTTGGAAGACTACAGTTGGTAAATTAAAGATATTCCTGTTTGGGGCCACAAACTACAAACAAATTGTGGCTGCCAATCAGACACTTTGGGTCACTCACATAGATACCCACAGTAACAGTAAGGGCCTGCTCTCTGATAAGACCGACTGAAATCAAGTCGCTGAACAAGTCTGTATTGCCTGGTCACTGGGATTTGCCACTAGGATCCATCACTGCACTAGATAAGGCAATGAACCCACCACAATAGAATGGATACAAAGTAAAAGGTATGTTTTTCATGCAGAAGATACCACTGCATACCAGACTTATGTATCTTGCCCAGTTGGCCTCCTTTTCTTGTGGTGAAGGAGTCCACATTACATGGAGGATTGCCCTTGCCCCTTCCCAGCAGGGACCTCTGTCACCTCCTCTTGGGCTCACCTCGTGCCTTTCCACCATAGACATTTTTCAGGTTATGGTGTTGCTGCTCCACCATATGGAGTTGCTGCTCCAATCTGATTAGCCTATTCAAGCTATAGCACTGAGGACCATGTTTTGGGGTTCCTAGACCTTCTATAGTCTGACCATGATATGCCTAACAATGAGCCAATAGTTAGGTACTTAATGGACATTCCATGCTTCCTACCATCCTCAGGTATCTGGAATTGTTGAGAGCTTGGAAAGGCCTTCTTGAAAATCAACTCAAAAATGTTTCTGGCTCCACCTCTCTTACCTCCTCCTGGTCCACACTCCTGTATGAAGCAGTTTGCTTACTAACTGTGGCCACCTTCAGAAAGGGTTCATTTCATCCTTGTAGCCTCCTGGGAAATAATCAGGACAAAAGGAGTGGGGGATTATATACATCTGTTTTGAAAATTTGGGATTCTGCCTGGCCCAACCCTGGTTATCTTGCTTCTTTCTTTTTCCCAAAAGCAATCTCAGGATGGTTTGTTTCATATATCCCTTGGGTGGCAGCCAGCCAAAAGGGGGCTTAGAGATTCAAGCTTAATTTGGGTTTACCCACCTGGATTCATTTTGTTCAACTGATAAGGTCCCAGATCATAAATATCCATAATGACCATCTGATTGAGTGCCCTGCTCACTGAGTCATTCTATAGTGGTCCATATAGGCCAAAATGGAAGACATAATAGGTTTCTAAATTTGTCCCATATGTACTTACCCTTCTATAAGCTACAGGCACAAGTAGGGGATGATTGGAGAAAAGGCGAAGTTATATCTACTGGAATGGGACACATTAACTATGTGGCCAAAGAAGGAAAGCAACAACTTCAGCCCCTAGGAAGGAAACACATGAGACCTCAGGAAGTACAGGGATGGGGAGGACAATTAATACTTTCTTTGTCCTCTGGATCCGCAAGTGCATCCTGGCAAAACAAATATATAGTGAGCTACCTGAATCAAACAGCAGCTGAGGCCAGCCATCTGACCTGCGTCTGTTTTATCTCTGACCATGTGCTTGCTATGAAACAGAAAAATTCACATGGGCATTGGTGGTTCTTAATTCTTTTGCTGTGCTTGATACCATCAATGACAGCTCCTGAATGTGGACCCCGTTGTATACATGGAAGCAAAGGGACTGGCACAACCTTATTTTAATCTGATGTACACAAATCCATATGCTTCTTCTGACATGTGAGCAGCTTTGGATTATGCCATGCATGGCAACTGAAGTAACAACTACTTAGTGATACTGCCCATGTGGCTTAGACAAATCAATGTAATGGTTGATCCAAGTTTAATGACAAATCCTGAAATAAAGTGACTCTTTATTTCAGCCTCTTTAGGCTACATGTTTGTATGTAGGAAAGAGTAGGCCATGGTGTATTCCACCTTTGAGCTTGGGGGTTGCTTTTTGGCCCCTGTAATCTAGCGCCTCCTGTAACTATCTGCAACGAGGCCAAAGATTAGCATGTCAGTCTAAACTCCCTTGCATGGGTCAAAATAGATAACAGACCAGACTTAGATTACATCCTAGCTGTATAAAGTAAGATCTACTTTCTCCTCTGGGGCTTATTCACAGTTGATTTAGTCCAAGATACTGAGGGACATAGTTGATACCAATATTACAGGATGTTTTTATCCTGCTACTTGGAGTCTTGTTAAGTAAGTGCTGTATGAGACAAATTAAAGCGATGGTCCTAGTCTCTCTTGGTAAGATAAATAAAAGTAGCTGATGTAGTGGCATACTCATGTCAAGACAATGCTGGGCTGAGGGATGGGTTGTTGGAAGAGTCAATCTACCATGGGCCTGAAGCATTCCTAAACGTTCTTACTGGGTATGCCAAGAATGCAAAGTCTTGGCCACTCTTTACTTAGGTAATTTTTCAGGGTTGTGTTTGCAACAAGCAACTGGAGAGATGAGGTAATGTCTTCCTCTGGGCTTACTAAGTGCTTACTATAAAAGTGGTAGATTCCTGAAGTTCGGTGTTCCTCAGTTGTGATGAAAACCCACTGTGTGCAGCCTCTGCAACTTCCACATGTTCTCTGGGGGCAAGGGAAGCATAGACGTGGTGCTCATTCTTTTTGCTGTGTTGTGAGTAGTAAACTACTTTGTCTCTGACTGCGGAGTCTCGTATCTATTGTTAGCATCCATGAAACAGTAACAGACTAACTTCTTAGCTTATATTTAGGGTAAAATCTCATCTCAAACTCCGCAAATAATTCAATATCATTGTAATATGAAATGCATTGTAAGGGCCAGGAATGGTGGCTCATGCCTGTATCCCAGCACTTTGGGAGGCCAAGGTGGGCAGATCACTCGAGCCCAGGAGTTAGAAACCAGCCTGAGCCACATAGTGAGACCCTTTCTCTAATTAAAAAAAAAGAAAAAAGAAAAGAAATGCACTGTAAGAGGAAGTGAAAAGTAAGATCAGAGAGGTGAGCAGGGGTTATAAAATGGATAGTCTAATATGTTATGATAAGGAGCCTAAAGTTGATCATATTGGTAAAAAGGAGTGCTACAGACTGAATATATGTCCCCCCAACCCCCAAACCCCCCCAATTCATGTGTTGAAATTCTAACGCCAATGTCTTGGTATTAGGATATGGGACATTTGGAAGATGATTACATCACGAGGGTGGAGCTCATAAATGGGATTAGTACCCCTAAAAAGAGACCTCAGAGAGCTCTTTCACTCCCTTCTGTCATGTGAGGATACAGCAAGAAGACAGCCATCTATGAACCAGGAAGCAGGCCCTCACCAGACACAGAATCTGCTGGTGCCTTGATCTTGGACTCTCCAGCCTCCAGAACTGTGAGAAATAAATGTCTGTTGTTCCAGCCATCCAGTCTAAAGTATTTTTGTTATAGAAGGCCAAGCAAACTAAGACAGGAAAAAGAGAAGATTTAAGAAGGAAATGACATGACTGGATTTGTGTTTTTAGAAAAGACACTGGAGGTTATGTGAAGCACTGATTTGAGGGGAAAAAATCTTTAGGCAAGCAGAGCAGTAAGGGGGTTATTACAGCAACCCACAATAGAAATGTTGAGAGCTAAATGGAAATAAGGGAAGAGATCAGTGAAATACATAAGAAGATTCCTGAATGGCTACCAGATAGAGGGTGTTACCAACAACTGAAGAGATGGGAGAAAAAAATAGGGTTAGGGATAAAAATTTTTGAGTTCTGTTTTTTTTTTCTAAAGTGGAGTTTGAGGCACCTGAAGGGAATCTATGCAGAGAGGTCTAGCAAAAAGAAAAGGTTGTTGGGGAGGGGCAGATACATATAGACCTGAACATTAGAAGAGATGGCTAGATTCAAGATATAGATTTATGAGGCATCTATATTAATAGTTGTCTCAACTGTTTTCTCAGAAGACATTAATTTTCTGACATAAATCAAAGAATATAAATTGGAAATATGAATCTCTACACCCTTCTTGAAATATAAACATAATATAAATATCCACATAAATGGCTCAGTACAATGCAATCATGAGTTAGCTACCAGTGCCATATAAAATGTAGAGCAGAAATGGATTAGAAAGGAGAATGCCTTCTTGTATGCTTAGATAATTTTCTTATTTCAGTTGATTTAGATGTCTGTTTGTACTCTGGTTGCTTAGTCTTTAAAGTGATTTTATAGGGAAGCAAACAGTTACAGCAATCAACTCATGAAAGACATAAATTCACTGAGCTACAGAAATAAAATGAAATCTGCATTGCTTTTTCCACTGACCGACATTCTTCCTCTTTACTTAAACTTCTGATTGTCAAGGCTTAATTCTGTGTTTTATTGCTAAAATTTCTAAGTACTTAACAAATATGATGAGAACCACATCACTAACCTGCCATCTTAAGCAAATCTTTAAAAATATATTTTTTAGTTATTTGACAATTCTGTAAGCAAAGGCTAAGAATGTGCTCCAAAGACAGAATAGGAGCTTTATTTGCTATTTTCCAAGTTTAAGATGTTCATCCATCTGGCAGAGCAGCTAGACAATACATCAGCCAAGAACATCTCTCTGGCTTGAAATAGTTCTGGCTCTCAAAGAGGATTTGACTGAGGGAAAGGCAACATCTTTAGTTGCTCTAAGGCTGAACTCTTCTAATATTTCCCCCCAATGCCTTCTCCAAGCCTTGGCTCCATCCACTAACTTGGTTTCCATAGGAATAGACAGAGCTATCAAGTGGCACGGAGTCAAACAGCACAAATGAGAGAAGGAGAAAATGTTACTGTCAAAAAAAGGCTTTTCTCTATGAGAGGAAATTATGGAAAGGTATTCTTGACTCTGAGGCTTCCTTATCCAATGCCAGATTTTTCAGGTGCTCTTCCTGACTAATATAGCCTATTTTATTTAGATTATTATGAAAATTAATGCCTTCATTGGAGAGCCTTTTATATATAGGAAACTAACCAAAAATAAATATTGAAAAAAGTTATAAAATGCTGGGATGCTTATTTCCACAAGGATAATTCTGTTGTGCTTGTGAGGTACTCTGATTTATTTAGAGTGGTGCTTTAAATTGGTACAACCTTTTAGGATGATTATAAAGTATATTTGGTTTCTCACAGTTGGTATTTTATTTAAGGACAACATTTTTTTTTTGTCTTAAACTCTAGCAAAAGAAGTTCTCAAACTCTAGCATGCATCAAGATCGTCTGGAGGGCTTGAAAACACATAGGCCCTCCCGCAGAGTTTGTCATTCACTGGTGTAGGGGCCAAGAATCTGCATTTTGTAGCAAGTTTCTGGGAAGTGCTGCTGCTGCTGGTCTAGAATCCTAAACTTTGAGAACCACTGTTGAAACAAAGAACCTAATCTAGGAGTTCTCAATCCTTAGGAGCTTAAAAAAAAAGTCTGTTCCCATCCTAGATCAACAAAATCAGAATTTCTGGGACTTTGGAATTAATATTTCTTAAATTTTCGGTAGGTGATTCAAAAATGCAACCGGGATTGAGAAGCACTGACCTAATTAAACCATTCATTCAACATTCAATGGTTATTTTTGATGTAATTACTCTGTATCAGACTCCATGCTAAGAGTTGGGGAAGCTTTATACAGATGTACGCTTGTATGCAATGCAAAATTATAAGCAAGGAAGGGTAAATGCACAAAAAGGATACAAAAACAGAACACAAAGACAGGATAGATGATGTACTTAAAAGTCATTCCTTGTGACTTCCCCAAGATGTCCTTGTGAAGAGGGGAAGGGGTTAGAACAGAATGACTTCATGAAAGAGATGGCAGTTGAACAGGATCTTAACTTAGGATTACTAACACTTTGACACTCCTCAATGTCTCCATCTTGTTCCTGCTCCCAATTTCTTTGATATGGAGGGCAATAAGTATTTTCTGAATTTTATGTAAAGTGCTATATAAAGACAGCTTCAAATCTTACTCCCACTCCTTCCAATCAATTTGTCCCCATAAGCTCCTCCTATATGCATATTCTGAAGCCAACATTAGTAAGTTGTGTATATCATGTCTCTTGGATCCACTTATTACATGCTCCAATAACCCCCACACTATCCCTCCCTTTGACCGTAATAGAAAGTGAAACCATATGCAATGCTATTCACTGCTGTCATACAATGAGATCAGTTCTATGATAGAGGTAAGGACACACGGTAGTAAGAACTCTGTAGAGGGGCACCTAACCCAGCCTTGAGGGGTCAGTAGAAGCTTATTGGAGAAAACAGTGCCTGAGCTGCATGTTGAAAGTATATGCAATTAAGCCAGCTTAAAGTAGGAAGGAAGCTGAATGTGCGACGGCATTGTGTGTGGAGGATGAAAAAGAGGTGACTAGAATGAAAGCTTTAAAAACACAGTATGTCTGAGGATAGAGTAGAACTGGAGACACAGGACACTGAAGCCCAAAAGATAAGCAAGAACTCGATGACGAAAAGTGCAGGGTCAAGGAGTTTGGGCTTTTCCTTTCAGTCTTCTGAAGCAGTACTGAAGGATTTTTTTTTTTTTTTTTTTTTTTTTTGAGACGGAGTCTCGTTCTGTTGCCCAGGCTGGAGTGCAGTGGCGCGATCTCGGCTCACTGCAAGCTCTGCCTTCCAGGTTCATGCCATTCTTCTGCCTCAGCCTCCTGAGTAGCTGGGACTACAGGCGCCCACCACCACGCCCGGCTAATTTTTTGTATTTTTAGTAGAGACAGGGTTTCACTGTGTTAGCCAGGATGGTCTCGATCTCCTGACCTTGTGATCCTCCCGCCTTGGCCTCCCAAAGTGCTGGGATTACAGGCATGAGCCACTGCACCCGGCCAGTACTGAAGGATTTAAGTAAGGGAGGGACATGAGAGAGGTCTCAGCCAGAACACTCCCACACCCAAAGGCAAATCACTGAATTTTTCCTAGCCTCTGTTTCCTCCCACATGAAAAATAAGGAGGGTGGATTCTGATCTAAAGCCCACCCAGCTTAATGTCCTTTGACTCTATGATTCTAATTCTAAAAGGCAGAAGACCTGCTCCCTATAGCTACTTCAAAACTAAATGTTTTTTATTCTAACTGACTCAACAATGACTTAATTTCTAATAATTTTTATTTTCCTTAACCACAGGGTAACAGTTTTTACATCCATTTCCTTTTTCCCAATACTGCACAAGTAATTCATTTTCCTAGCATATTGATGTTCGCTTTAGGGGATCCAAAAATGCTACTCCATGGGGAGGCAGTACGGTGTAATAAAATGAGAATGGATTTTGGAACCAGTCAGATCTGGGCACTTCATTGGCTATATTATTAATAACTGTGAGCAAGTTACTTCTCAAAGCCTCAGATTTCCCATTGGTAAAAAAGAAAAAAAAGTGACCAGTGCACAGCGAGTACTCAACAAATATTGGTTTCTTTCTCAGATACCATCATTGCTCTCCTCTCATCATAAAAGTAGTATCTGTAAACAAAACAGCTTTCATTTGCTCCTAATGTTCTCATTGTTTGATGTCCATGATAATCTGTGTAGCCTGTTCTTCTTACTGACCCTGACCAGCCTTCTCAGTGACACTGCAAGCAAAGTTATTAAAACATCATATTTTAATATTAAACTCAGAAGCTAAATGCAACAAATTTTGTTTAACTCCTGGTTCCTTTGAAGCACCCCAAGTCTTGTAGGCTCCATCTTTAGTTTTCCAACAATGTACCTTAGTTTTATTGATCCTAGCATGCAGTTTAGAAAAATCAATTCACCTACTCTGCGAAGATGTGTGCCTTTGGGGGACCTGTTTCAAACAACTGATTGAATCCATCTTTTGCCTTCTCTACTTCAGTTCCACACTATGGATGGGATTTCTTAGATGGTGGGAAAAGACAAATATACAGACAAATGTGTAAGTAAATTCGATTATACTAAAAAACCTTTAATGAACCTCATTCAGACCATGCATTAAAGGGTTTAATCAAATGCTGACCATAACTAGTAATCTGACTTAGTAACTATTATCCATTTTCAAAATGGTAGCCTAAATCCTCACAGTGAGTGCTTGAATTCAAAATTGTATCTTCTAGTTTCAAATTTAGCCATCTTTAAAAAATTATATCAAAACATACCTCCATCTGCAAGTCAATCCCTGAACTCTATACTGCTCTTCATCTGTCTGCCACCATTTTAGACCTTTTTATTTGAAACTAAGAGAAGCAACCGAGTTGAGAAAGCATAATGCTACAGCTTGGTGGCTGAAGTGAGGAATAAAGATTTGCAGATTAAAGACTATTTTAGTTGTGTCAATCTGTAGTTTATGCCAGGGTAGATGTCCTGTTTGTTATAGCTATGTTTTAACTGTAATCTAACTATTCTTTCAAGTGCAAGCACACTACAATTCTGAAATCAATATTTTAGTATCTCCCTCAAGCCCTTTGTGGACCAAATGGAAATAAACAAACATAAATTTTAGAAACACATTCAAAAATTAGAAATTTTATGCTTTACATATATTGAAAATTTTGAAAAACTATTAAAAATTGGGAAAACAAAGTAAGAAAAAAGGTTACCAACAATTTTATTACCCTAAGCCTAACACAAGCTCTGCTAGCATTTCTGTGAAAACTCTTCTAATCCTTTTTAGTTTTTTTGTTTAAAAAGAGAGAGGATTTGCATAGTTTTCATCTAAGTATACATCTAACTGTATATCTTAAATAAGCAGTGGTTTTAAAAATAACTTGTGCAGCTGTGCACAGTGGGTCACACCTATAATCCCAGCACTTTGGGAGAATGAGGCAGGTGAATCACCTGAGGTCAGGAGTTTGAGATTAGCCTGGCCAACACGACGAAACCCCATCTCTACTAAAAAAACAAAAATTAGCAGGCATGGTGGTGCACGCCTGTATTCCCAGCTACTTGGGAGGCTGAGTCATGAGAATCGCTTGAATCCAGGAGGCAGCAGTTGCAGTGAGCCAAGATAGTGCCACTGCATTCCAGCCTGGGTGACAGAGTGAGACTCTGCCTGAAAAATAAATAAATAAACAAAAAATAAAAAATGAATGAATAAATAAATAACTCTTTCATGTGGCAGCCATCATCATAACAACCAACTCAGGTGTGAGTGGTCAAACGATGCTAACAATAGAGTGGGTTGGACGGTTCCAGGATATTTATATAGTTTCAAATTAGCTCCCACAAGATACTTATTATTTATAGTTACAATGGAAAAAATAGTGACGTCACAGCAGAGGAACCTGGCAGGAGCTCCTTTATTCAAGTGAATAATCCAAAATTAACACCATTACTGGGACAAATTGATGACACATGCTTCCTGATATGAGGCACTGAGAGGAATACAACATCACTCCTGTGGTATTCTTACCAAAAGTGCATAATCTGAATCTAATTATAAGGAAATATCAGACAAATTAAAAAGGAAGGCTACTGTACAATTTAACTGGCCTGTATACTTACAACATGTGAATATCATGAAGTACACACATACATACACAAAAGACTGAAAAACTGTTGCAGATTAATGAAGACTAAAAAGACATAAATGATTGAATGGAGTGCCTGATCCTGGATTTTTTTTTTTTTAAATAGATGACATTGTTGGGACAATGGGCAAAATCTAAGTAAGATTTTTGGATGAGATAATATTATTTATGTTAACTGCCTGATTGTGATAATTGAGCTGTGGCTATGTAAGAGAATGTCCTTGTTTTTAGAAACTATGCACTGAAATTTAGGGGCAAAGGAGTATCACACCTGCAACTTACTCCAAATGATTCAGAAGGCAATATCTACACATTCCCATATATCAAGGCAAAGTAGAGAGAAGGATAAAGCACACGTGTCAAAATGTGCACATTTGAGGAATTTGAGAGTATATGAAAATTATTTGTACTGTTCTTGAAACTTTTCTGTAAATTTGAGATTATATCAAAACATAAAGTTAGAAAAAAAGAAAAAAAACTTAAAATTTTTGTTATAAAAGTAATAACATGTCCATTAAAGGAATGTCAAAAATAAAGTATAAAGAAGAAAACAGTGATCAGCCTGCACCTCTTAAACCTGAGGTAATCGCAGTTTACATTTTTACATACTCTTTTCCTCTTGTCTACAAGGAGTTGTTTCTTATCCTCAGATTATATTTAAATTTCAAAATGCTCCCTACTCATGCCTTACTTAATATTCACAGTATTCTTGTTGTGAAAACCAGAAGTATTCTCACTACTTAGATGAGGAAATATACATTCAAAAAGATTAAACTATGGGTTTACTTTTAAAAGATTATCTGTTTATATCCTATAATAGAAAAAAAGTCACTAAATAGCTGGTTGAGCATGATTCACAAACTGTCTAAGATCTAGTTTCCTGTAAAATGAGAAGTTAGTAGTAGATGATTTCTAGGATTCCTTCTAACATTAAAATGCTACAATTCTAACATGTTCTATCATCACAATTTTGTTTTGTATAGAGAATTTGTAGTGCCTAGCACAGTGCCTCATTTATAGTAGGCACTACATAAACATTTTTTGAATAAATAAATGCTTTACAAATTGTAAAATGGATAGTTATAGAGATTATCAAGATTGAATACTATATGTGAGTGGTTTGTAAAGTATAATTTATAATTATAATTAATTATAATTATTATTGATGATTTGGAATAGAAAATATAAAACAAATTGCTCATTATTCTAGAGATTAAAGTTAAGACAACAGCTAAAATATGTCACCTTTTTGTAGGAATCTAAGACATTTACTATGAAGTTTATTTCTATATTACTCTTGTTTCAAGTATAATTCACCTTCTTCTCATCAATAACCAATTTAACTGACTGTTTACAGACAGATGGAGAGAGAATGACAAATTAGTACTCCCCAGGTTTGTGGCATGGACATAAAAAGTGAATTTATTTTTCAAATACATTTTATAGCCATAGCCTTGCAAGTAGAAGACATCTTATCTAGTTTACTATTGATCCAAATGACAAGGCTGAGCATCAGATTAAGGATATGTCAGAAACCTGAGAAAGGCTACCAACAGATGCAGCAGGATGGCAGCTTCTTTCAAAATGATCTATTAAGGCTACTGTGTTTACAAAGGCAGTTGAGAAAACAGCACAATATACTAGGTCACCAGCAGAGTGGCCATAAAAACTTCTGATACTAATGTGAACCCCCATACACCAATCATGATACATGTTTATTTTCAGCAATAAAAACTATGCACAGACTTTTGCAGATAAACAAAAGATACGTGACTTTTTTTTCACCCCACATCCCTTTCCTATTGTCACAGTGTCTTCAATGAAAGGAAGCATTCCTAAGAGATGACATCTGTTGTGAGATAATGGGAGATACTATATAATTTAAGCTGACTGTCAACCGGAAAGGTCAAGCGCAATTCAAGAATTTCATTTTAAGATATTTTCTTTGGTGATATTAAAATATGACATAGCTAAGTAGGTAATGACCAAAAAATATCATGCCAAAATGGAGTCCTTAAAAACAGAAATTCTGAGGTATTTCTTATATATATAGTACAATATTTTATATAAAAAAGAAACATTATTTTTGGTATAACATGCTAAGCATACTTAAAAAAAAGTAGCAAAACAACAACAACAACAAAAGAAACCTGTTCAGAGGTGGGAAAATCTTTTTTTTTGTGATCACCTTGGGATTAGCACATCTTTATGGAAGATCCATTACTTTCTAGACTAGAATGAATTGAAGAATTTTGTGAGAATCATGGGAGTAGAAAAAGCTTCAGAAAATTCCCCTTTCAGATGCCTTTGCACATACTTGAACTGTTTTTTCAAAACCCAGAGTGCTCTGAACAATATCAAGAGACCAATATTTGACACTGTTAAAAACTAAAGAGATAGATACCTGTGGTCTAAGTCGATTTAAAACATCAGCCAACTATTCAACTTCTTTAGTTTGCCTTTTAAACCAGCATATGATGCTTTTTTAATAGCAATTATAAAATGTTTTTATCATCAGCTTAAATAGCAGTGAATAGAAGTGAACTGCATTATCCTTATTAAATGCTATAGGTCTAACTTGTCAGGACAGCTGGGTTTTAGTCCTGGCTCTAACTAGTTATCTAAACATAAATATATCATTCAATTTACCAAACAATTATTTAGTACCTTCTTTGTGTAAGGCATTGTTTTTAATTGTGATGAATAAAACAACTTTCTGGGCCTCAGTTTCCTCAATTGTGAAATGAGGAAATTCATTTAAGTTATAAACTAGTATTTTATTTACCAAAGTGTTTTACAGATCACTGTTTCCTTAAATGCTGTTAGTTTATGCTGGAAAAAAAAAGCATTGGGATCAAATGATTATGAGAAATTTTGGACTTAAAAAATTAATGGGTTTCTTCACTGTGCAACTTCTCAGAGCTTCTAGAATGCTTATACATGCTAAATTTTCAAGGAGAAACATGCAGTAGTTCCTACACTTATCTGACCATGGGACCCATTTTTTTACACAACATTACATGTGAATATTACTTTAAGAAAGAAGATTTGGGGCTGGGCGTGCCCAGCACTTTGGGAGGCTGAGGCGGGCGGATCACCTGAGGTCAGGAGTTCGAGACCAATCTGGCCAACATGGTAAAAACCTGTCTCTACTAAAAATACAAAAATTAGCCACGCATGGTGGCGCATGCCTGTAATCCCAGCTACTTGGAAGGCTGAGGCAGGAGAATCGCTTGAACTGGGGAGGCAGAGTTTACAGTGAGCCTAGATCATGCCACTGCACTCCAGCCTAGATGATAGAGTGAGACTCTGTTTCAAAAAAAAAAAAAAAAAAAGGAAGCTTTGGGAAATGCTGCAGTAAATGTTTTTCAAGGTTCATTTTAGCTTTTATAATTTGTATTTCTTTTTATAAGAAACACAGAGCTGTTAAATACCTAGCCTGGATAAAATAAACTTGAGAAAAAAATGTTCACAAAGACAAAGAAAAAGTTACCCGAGACTACAGTTATTAACAACAAGAAGTCGAGCTACTGAGTAATAGGCAATATAAAAGATTGAGAATGAGTAACAGTAAATGGGGCAGGAAAACAAAATTACAGGGTATGTTTGAAGCAAGCATTTAAAAAAAAATCAAGAGTTCTTTCAAGCTACTTTATCAAAAGTAACTGGTATGTGCTTCACAATGGCTCACCAAATACTATAGATGCTAAACATCAAATGTATGTTGGACTTTATGCTTTGTACCTTAGGAGATATAATTTGCTGAGAGCTATGGTGAAATATCTATGTTATTGCCTCCAACATGCCTTGCACTCATCCTCTACAAGCCCATCACATTACTTTCATGCCTACCACTAACTCAAATTCCCTATCACATCCTTAACTCTTTTCTGCCAATGGATAAGAGATATTGCTCTGGTTAGAATCAGGTGGCAGTAAACAGGGCTGTAAAGCTCAAAGCTTCCAAGTGCAGTCATGCACATCTGGGGAGGATTTCTGATAGCCCACAATAAATCTAGTTAGTCTAAGGAGACTAAATTTATGAATGAGACTGCTTAGTAATAGAGCCAAGTTCAAGAATGAGCCTGCTGACCTAATAGTGGAATATTCAGTGGAAAGAACAAAACTTTGGAGGTGCAGCAACTTCTTTAATTCTGAAGGCCCCCAAAATAAGTAAGCAATGTCTATGAATGCTACTGTGTGACATGGAAGGTTAAAGCGATAGACAAGTGATATGCGGAAAGAAAGGAGAGGGAAGAGAGAAAGAAGAAAAGGAAGTGGAAAAGAAAAAGAGATGAAAACATTTAGGATTTGATAGGAAATAAAGAAATTTGTATAACAGGAAACTCTATCATTCTCTTCTGTAATCAGTTTCCTCAATGTTTCTAAAAAATGCCATGGCCATTTCTGCCTTTTAATCTTTGCTCACTCTATTCCCTCTGCCTGAAGTTCTCTCTGGGTTCTCATTCTATGTCAAAAGTTGACCATATCTTTAAGATCCACCTGAAATTTCAATTCCTCCATGTATTAGGCAGGTTCAGTACAGGAAACAGAAGCCATTTAGGTATTTTAGGCAGGAAAGATTTTAATACAGGGAATTATGTACTTATAAAGTAAGTGGAAGGACTCTAGCTAGGCTTAAGGAATGACTCCCTGAATGATGTAAAGTCACCATTGTGACTACAGTATTAAGTTCAGTGCACATCTGCAGATGCATCAGGAAGTCAAAATAAAAAAAAAAAAACTATTGTAATAACTGCTTTTCAACACCCAGTCAGAAGAATAATGGAAACTGAAATGTTCTATAAAAGCACCCCCTAATGACTGTACCCGCCTCTGAATATGAGAAGCACTATGGCCAGACTTGCTTGTATGGGACACTCAGCATACTAACACTGGCTTGTAAGATTATGCCCTCTTTAAGTATATGCGCCCATTCTCCTTATCTTGGGTGTAAGGCCCTTGCAGCTAGAACCATAGTGCATGTCTCTAGTCTCTTACTCTTCTGATTAAACCTAACTCAATTCCTTTGGATAGCTGTTTAAAGTATACATAAATTGCTAATTATAAACAGGTAATGCCTGCTTTTGCAGACTATACCTTTCCAGTTTAGTGTAAAGGAGTGCTAGCCCAACACTTCCAAGGTAATTCTGGCTTCCAGTCTTATATCTTGTTGTGGGATGAAATATTTAAAACCTTTTGTGGAAATTTATGTCTATAATTAGCAAGTGGTTGAGATTCTTTTATCTTTGCAGATGGAAAGGAGAATGATAACTGGGGTTGGGGAGCAGATGGACACATTTCTGATATCTCTGAAATCATTCTCAAAACTTGACCTAAGTGGTTTGCTTTCTCCTTGTACTTGTTTGGAAGCAATTGTCCATCATGTTTCTGCATATCTGGTAATTTGGACTATCTTTTCAAAGACGTCTGCATAACTAGTTGCTTTGGAAGCTAAAAATGGTACCTCCCTTCAGGTTAGAGGACAGATTTGTTTGCTAACCAGGATAATAAAGATAATGTTTCATTTGGTGGCAAAGGATAGGCAGGTTTGCTCACAGCCTTGATGTAAGATTGGAGGTTTTTAAAGTTCAAGTTTCCTCAGGTGTGACACTGACCCTCTGCCTTTGCAGCATCTACGTGGACCTGCCTCCATACCACCCTTATGGGACTTGGGGGCAAGGAGAACCAATGCAGACATGAAGCTCATGCTACCTGCTGTGCCATAAGCAATAAACTGTCTAAATCAATTTGGACTTATGGTCTTTTTAACAGCTGAATCTATGTGGCAAGCCAGCCTAGCAGCTGCAGTAGCTTGACTGCTTGACAGTATTGTCTTTTAGGAAAGTGCTCATTGACTATTTGTTACATGAGTAAATGAGTGAATGAAATCTGGCCGCAGTGTGAAGAATGGTTTAAAGAGGGGAAAGACTTGAATCAGGAAGATTGGTAGGCTACTTCAGTTGGTTAGACATTAGATGTGGTAAATAAGATTAAAATGATGGAATAAAAGAGATGGGTAAAAGAGCCAAAAAGGGGAAGCCCCATATATGCATATAGACTCCCTTAAAATCCTTGGCTGATCCCTGAATTGACAATGTATGGGAGACTCCAAGATGTCTGCAGAAACCCACAAAAGGAAAGTTGAAAAGCTGATCAGAGATTTCAGCTACTACCCAAGGCATAGGGGTAGAATTTGGAGTTTGAGTTCCACTTAGTTAGAGGTCTTAGTACATATTTCAGACTTCCCACTGAAATCTCAGAAGGGCCATGCCTTAAAAGTATAGACTATGTACCAGGACTGTGGACCTGGTCTAATAGATTCAACTAGACTAAGGGAAAAACCGAGACACTCAACAAGTTCAGTGTAATTAGTCAGCTTTAACTTTTACAAAACAAAAAGTCAACATTCTTTAGAGGAAGATAACAGAATCAAGAGTCCCTACAAGGTATCATCCACAATTCTGAGTATGCTATAAAAAATTACTCCATATGCAAACAAACAGAAAAACAGGACTCAATTTCAAGAGAAAAAAACCAAAATAAAGATATCTTAAGATAACCCAGATGTTGGAATTAGCACACAAGGAATTTACAATAGCTTTATAAATATGGTCAAAGACTTAACAGAAAAAGATGGTCATAATTACCAAACAAATGAGGGAATCTCAGCAGAGAAAAATTACATAAAAAGAAACAATTGGAAGTTCCAGAATTGGAAAGTACTATATCTGAAATGTAAAAATCATAGCATGGACTTAATAGTAGACTAAAAAATAGAAGAACAAGCCAATAAATTTCAGTTTAGATCAACAGAAATAATTAAATTTGAAGACAAGGAAAAAATGTTTCAAAAATCAATAGAACCTCAATGACCTGTAGGACAATATAGAAAAGTCTAATGTTATGTGTAATTGGTGTCACAGAAGAAGAGAGAATGGAACAGATAACAGTATTTGAGAAATGATTTAAATTTGGTAAAAATATCAACTTTTATATCCAAGAAACTCAGTGAATCCAAAGCATGGTTAATATAAAGAAAACTACCTCTATGCACATGATAGGGAAACTATTGAAAACCAAAGCTAAAAAAGAAAACACTGAAAGAAGTCAGAAAAACAACCACCACCATTATACACATAGGAACAACAGGGATGATGGTGTACTTCTCATCGGAACCGATGGCTACCAGAAAACAATAAAATGATATAGTTAAGTTTTCTGAGGCATAGTATAATATTCCAATGCGGTAAGTGAAAGATGCATACTGTAAACCCTAAAGCAACCTCTTAAAAATAATACATAGGTATAGGTAAAGAGCCAATTGAAGAACTAAAATGAAAAATTAAAAATTTGATTAATGCAAAAGAGAAAAAGAAAACAGATTGAAAGGAGCAATAACAGATGGCTCAAAATAAAAATAATAAGATGAAAAACTTAAAATCAACCATATCAAGAATTCATTAAATGTAAATGGACTAATGTTTCAATTAAAATGCAGATATTGTCAGACTAGATAAAAAAGAAAGTCTATAAGAGATGCTTATGTTGTCTACAAGAGATACACTTTAAATATAAAGACACAGATAGGTTGAAAGTAATAATAGAAAAACATTTGCCTGAAATGAGTGATAAGAAAGTTGGAGTGGCTACATTAGTAGCAGATAAAGTAAACAATAAGACATTTACATAGTTTCAAAGTACTGTCCCTCAAAATATTTACTGATTATAAAGATAAAAAGCCTACAAGTACCTTAATTAAGTGAGCAAGTGAATGTAATTAGTGATGAAAAACATCAAAATTTTGTGACACATAATAGGATTCAATAGGAAGAACACAGCATTACTCCTATGACGTCTCTGCGAATGTGGACAACACAAATCTAATCATGAGAAGATACCTAACAAACCCAAATTGAGGGACATTATATAAAATATGTAGCCAGGGCCAGGCATGGTGGCTCACACCTGTAATCCCAGCACTTTGGGAGGCTGAGGCAGGCGGATCATGAGTTCAGGAGATTGAGACCATCCTGGCCAACATGGTGAAACCCTGTCTCTATTAAAAATACAAAAATTAGCTAGGCGTGGTGGTGCATGCCCGTAGTCCCAGCTACACGGGAGGCTGAGGCAGAAGAATTGCTTGAACCCCAGAGATGGAGGTTGCAGTGAGCCGAGATCATGCCACTGCACTCCAGCCTGGCGACAGAGCAAGAGTCTGTCTCCAAAAAAAAAAATGCCAGGCGACGGTGGCTCACATCTTCATGTCTGTAATCCCAGTACTTTGGGAGGCTGAGGAGGGCGGATCACCTGAAGTCAGGAGTTCGAGACCAGCCTGACCAACATGGAGAAACCCCGTCTCTATTACAAATACAAAATTAGCGGGACCTGGTGGTGCATGCCTGTAATCCCAGCTACTTTGGAGGCAGGAGAATCGCTTGAACTCGGGAGACAGAGGTTGCGGTGAGCCAAGATCGCACCGTTGCACTCCAGCCTGCACAAGAAGAGTGAAACTGTCTCCAAAAAAAAAAAAAAAAAAAAAAAAAAAAAAAAAAAAAAAAAAAAAAAAAAATTCTAGCCCTCAATCTTCAAATGTGTCAACACCATTAAAGTTGAGGAAAGATTAAGAAACTTTTCTAGATTGAAGGACACTAAATAGGTTTGACAAAGGCAATGTGTGATTCTGAACTTAATACCTAAGGATATTATTGGGATAATAATAGGGTCTGAGGATAATGTTGTATAAATTTTAATTATCTGATTTTGACAGTGATATAGATATAGACATAGATTTTTGTCCACGGTTTCTGGCTCTTAACTCCCACAGACCTAGTTACAGTCTTTTGTTAAAATGTTGGGTGCTTTAGGCCTCAGAAACAGGCCTCAGAAAACAATCTCTCTCTCTGACCTTCTGCTTTCCTTTCACCTGATCCTTTTTCTCCCCAAGGCAGGCCCTTAGAAACTAAAAATATACTCTACTCTTCCTCTGCCTCTGGCCATAAAGAAATTCTCTGACCTACCTTGTCTGACTGTAGGTTACAAGACCTCTGTTTCAAAAGAGCTTTGCCCCATACCCTGGAGGAAGGAATGCTGCAGAGAGGCCAAGATGAATCTGAACAGACAGGCCTTAATGGGTTTCCCCCTCAATCTATTACAATTAGATCACACCTTTTTGGCCCAATCACATTTCTACATGGTTGTTAATCATGCCTATCCAATGAAGTCTCCATAAAAGGCCCAAAAGGATGGGGTACAGGATAGCTGAATATGTGGAGGCTTATAGGAAGGTGAACAAGAAATTCATCCATATGCTGGGAGGGTGGTGCACCCCACTCCACAGAGACAGAAGCTCCTGTGCTTGGGACCCTTCTATACCTTGCATTATGCAGCTTATCTTTTCTTTTTTCTATTTTATTTATTTATTTTGATAGAGTCAGTGTTTTGCAATGTTGCCCAGGCTGGTCTTGAACTCCTGGGATCAAGGGATCCTCTCGCCTCAACCTCCCAAAGTGCTGGGATTGTAGGCATGAGCTATGGTACCCAGACCATGTATCTCTTCAACCAGCTGTTTATTTGTATCTTTTAATATATCCTTTGTAATAAACTAGTAAACATGTTTCCCTGAGTTATGTGAGCCACTCTAGCAAAGTAATTGAAACTAGACAGGGAGTTGTAGGAACCCCAACTTGAAGCTGGTTTGGTCAGAAGTTCAGGGGGCCTTGACTTGTAACTGGTGTCTGAAGCATGAGGCAGTCTGGACACTGAGACTTCAATCTGTGGTATCTGATACCATCTCTGGGTAGATAGTGTTAGAATTGAATTAGGGGATATCCAGCTGGGTGTCTGCTACAGAACTGACTGCTTGCTTGCTGGTGGAGAGGTCTCCATATATTTGGTCACTGAAGTCTTCTGTGTTGATTTTGTGTCGAGTGAGAGAGCAGAAAAAAACCCAAACAGGTGAAGTGTGTTTTCTCCCCTCAGAATTTCAAACTTGAAGAAAATGCAACATAGCAAAACTTGTGAGTTGCAGCTAAAGCAGTGGTTAGGAAAATTTCACAGGCTTAAATAATTATATGTATTTAAGAAAACTATGTATACAATTAGGTAATTATAAATAATATATTTATATATTATATATAATATTTTATAATAATTTTATCATAATAATGATTATATAAAATCATTGACCTAAGATTCCAGCATAAGAAGCTAGAAAAAGATTGAGATAGAACAGCGACCCCTTTCAGGGACCTGCTGGGCCCCCCTCAGCATGGAAATAAAGGAACCATTTTGAGTCCCTTCAAGGGAAAGTCCAGGCACCCAGCTAGCCTTGAAAAGTAAATGAGCAACCTGATAAGCAAGAAGGTAGTAAAAACAGTTTCCGAAGCAAGCCAGAGTCACAAGGTATTCTGATGTCCCATGGAAACTAAAAGATAACATCTTAACATATGTTCTTGAGTTGTTTATCAGAAACTCCCACCAGACGAAAAATGCCAACAGCTATCACACAGGCCTCAGACAAAGGAGAATTGAGGACTGAATTCTGACCATCACTTTTTGTTCTAAATTTCTTCCTGAGGGGCCTTGGAGAAATCATTGAAAAAGACAGCATACTAAAATGGAGGTAAGAAGAAATAAAATCTGAAAAGTCTAAATCTATAAAAGAAAGTAGGTTTGTTGCCAAAACACCTTCCTACCAAATCGAAAAGAAAAAACTCCAGCAAGACTAGATGGTTTCACTGGTAAATTCTACAAAAAAGTTAAGAAATAAATAATTCCAATCTTACCAGTCTTACTCAACTTTATAAATAATAGAAGAAGATAAGACAGTTTCCCAGCTTATTTTATGAAGTCTGCAAATCCTGATAGGAAAACCTGACAAAGACATTATAAGAAGAAAAAAAACAACTAAACTATAGACCAATATTCCTTTTAACACTGTTGCAAAAATCCTTAATGTATTAGCAAATTAAATTGAGCAATACATAAAAAGTAGGACTTAATCCCAGAAGTGCAAGGTTGGTTTCACATTTTAAAATCAATTGATGTGGCCAGGTGTGGTGGCTCACGCCTGTAATCCCAGCATTTTGGGAGGCCAAGGAGGGCAGATCACTTGAGGTTAGGAGTTCGAGACTAGCCTGGCCAACATGGTGGAATGCTGTATCTACTAAAAATACAAAAATTAGCCAGGTGTGGTGGTGCGGAGCTGTAGTCCCAACTACTCAGGAGGCTGAGCCAGGAGAATTGCTTGAACCTGGAAGGTGGAGGCTGCAGTGAGCCGAGATCACATCACTGCACTCCAGCTTGAGCAACAAAGCGAGACTCCCGTCTCAAAAAAAAAAATCAATTGATGTGTTGCGTGTGGTGGGGTGTGTGCCTGTAGTCCCAGCTACTCGAGAGGCTGAGGTGGGAGTATTGCTTGAGCCTAGGAGTTCAAGTGTAGCCTGGGCAACACAGTGAGACTCCATCTCTATATATTTTTTTAAACAATTGATATAATGAGCAAAATAAATAAAGAACAACAACTATATGATAATTCCAATAGATGTAGAAAAGGCATTTGACAATATTCAACACCAACTCTTGGTTTAAATTCTCAGCGAACTAGAATCAAAAGAAAGTTTCCTCAATCAGTGTATCATTTATCAGTTTTTTGCCTCTCAGCTCCAAATCAGCTTCTTTACCATGTTTTGTGAGACTAGACCCTGTGAAAATTTCTCCTTTGCAGTTGCCACAATATTTGACTTTATCTGTAGCAGGCGCAGCAGGGACACTACAAATAATAGCAGAGGAAGGGGCTCTTCACACTGGTTCCAATGTGCTCTTTTTGCTCCTATGATGCAGATGTCGGAGGTCTATAGGAGACTCAGTGGGTCTCACATTCCAGTAAGTTTCACCACTACCCCAGTGGGCAACTTTCTGCTCATCAGCCCCAGCTCTCTAGCTCTGGCCCTTGGCATTCCAGTGAACTTCACCAACCAGGGGCACAGCCACACTCATTCCTACCAGGCCTGAATCTCAGCTTCCAAGTTTGCTCCTCCCTTGGATACTCTCCCTAAGCCTCAGAGGTAGTAGCTTCCCCCTACATTTGTTATTCCTGTATTCTTTAGCTCAAGGACATCTTTTAAAAATTGAAGTTAATTTCATGTTTAGTGGTGAAATACTACATGCTTTCTTCCTAAGATCAGAAATAAGGCAAGGATGTCTACTCTAATCACTTCTATTTAAATTTGTAATGGAGGTGTTAGCCAGTTAAATAAGGCTGAAAAAAAGAAAAGAAGGAAGAAAGGAAAGAAGGGAGGAAAGAAGGGCATAAAGATTTGAAAAAAAAAACCCTCATTTTAATTTATATATAAGACGATTGTTTATGTAGGAGACTAAAAAATCTATGAAACGACTAATAGAATGAATGAAGAACTTTAGCAAGTTTGCAGAAACAAGATCAATGCAAAAAGATCAAAGACCTACAAATGACAAGCACACGAAAAGATCTCAGCATCATTTGTCATTAGAGAAATGCAAATTAATACCACTACAAACCTAAATGGAATAAATGGCTTTATTTAGAATGGCTCAAATGAAAAAGACTGACTATACAAAGTATCCTCATAAGAAAGTGAGGGTATGGAGGAAATAGAACTTTCATTCACTATCAGTGGGAAAGTAAAATAGTACAAGCACTTTGGAAAACTGTTCACCATTTTCTTAAAAGTTAAACGTACACCTGCTATATGACCCAGCCATTACATTTATAATGATTTACCCAAGAGAAATGAAAGCATATGCTTACAGATGAATGTTCTTACCATCTTCATTAGTAATAGCCCAAAACAGAAAACAACCCAAATGTTCACCAACAGGCAAATGGTTAAACAATCTGTAGTGTATCCAAGGCTAGGTGCTGTTGCTTACGCCTGTAAACTTGAAACTTTTACCTTGTTCATGCCTGCAATCCCAGCACTTTAGGAGGCTGAGTCAGGAGGATCACTTGAGACCAGGAGCTTGAGAACAATTTGTAATATATCCATACAATAGAATAATACTGAACAATGATAATATATAAATCATTGGTATATGCAATAATAACATGAATGAATTTCAAAATAATTATACTGAGTGAAAGAAGCTAGGCAAAAAGAATAGTTTTATATGATTTCACTTACATAAAATTCTTGAAAATGCAAATCAATCTGTTGTGACAGAAAACAGATCACTGGTTGCTTGGGGAGGGAGGGTGGAGGCAGAGAGTGGTTTGAAGAAAGGATAACAAATGGTCATGAGGAAACTTTTGAAGATGTGTAAATATGGTACAACTTATCAAATTACACATCTGAGATATATGTAATTTGTTACATATCAATTACATTCAAGAAAATACTAAATACGCAGAAGGAATAGTGGGGATGGTGGCACAATGCTGTGAATGTGCTTAATGCCACTGAATAGTATACTCAAAAATGGTTAAAATGGCAAATTTCATGTTATGTATATTTTTGCAAAATTTTTATAAAGAATCTGTGCAAAAGAGATTTAAAAAATCAATCAAAATATATTGCTGACTGGGCGCAATGACTGATGCATGTAATCCCAGCACTTTGGGCAGCCAAGGTGGGAGAATTGTTCATGGCCAGCAGTATAAGACCAGCCTGGGCAACATAGCGACACCCCATCTCTACAAAAAAATTTTAAAAATTAGCTGGGTATGGTGGCACATGCCTGTAGTACCAGCTACTCAGGAGGCTGAGGTGGGAGGAATGCTTAACTCAGGAGTTCAAGGCTGCAGTGAGCTATGCTTCTACCACTGCACTTCAGTGTGGGTGACAGAGTAAAATCCTGTATCAGAAAAAAAAAAAAAAAAGACATTGGTATCATAGGTAATCTAATCTGAAATCTTATTTAAAAACTTTGGTTAGTGTCTTATTGTAGTAGCATCTAAAAATAATACAGAAAAAAATGGGTAAAGGACTTGAGCACACAACTTCACAAAAGAAAATATATAAATTATTATTAAGCATATGAAAATTACTCAACTTCATCAGTCATTAGGTAAATGCAAATTAAAACAAAAATGAGAAACACACTAGAAATGCTCAAAGTAAAAGGACTGACAAAACGAAATATTGCCCAAGATATATGGCATCTGAAACTCTCACATACTGTGTTGTTGGTCAGAGTGTAAAGTGGTAGCAACATTTTGGAAAACCATTAGGCAGTATCTACTAAAGCAAAAAATATGCAGGCACTATTAAAGATCATTGCACTTTTAGGTATTTATTTGATGAGTACAAATGTCCACAAAAAGACTTGTACAAGAGTGTTAATTTTTTCAGTTTATTCATAAGATTCTCTCATAATAGCTAAAGACTGTAACCAACCCAAATGTCCATCATCCCATGAATGTATAAACAAATTATGATATATTTGTGCAACAGAATATAATTCAGCAACAGAGAAAGAATAAGCTATGATATGTGCAACAATATGGATAAATCTCAAAAATATTGAGTGAAAGATCCTAGACACAGAAGAATACATACTGCATTATTCCATTTACACACACACACACACACACACACACACACACACACTCTTTTTTCCCCAAGATGGTGGACTGAAAGCATTGTTAGCATGCCTCCCCTACTTGGAAAGACAAAAGAGTGTGTAGAGAGTCATACTGTGAACTTTTGTTCAAGAAGCAACACAGGAACTTAACAGGAAAACTGACAGAAATCACAGACCCTCTGAAAGAAATGGTGGGCTGCGGTCTACCCTGTGAGCCAGATGGAAAACTTAAGACAGTGAACCTGCTCACACACCAAGCACCTTGCTACTACAAACAGCATCTGAGAAAGCCATCAGACAAAGATTCTCTATAACCAAGGAACTCAGAGTCTTCACACCGGAAATCATCAAGAGCCAAATTGGGCTATAATAAACTGTAAACATTAAAGTTACATCCTTAAGGGGGAATAAAAAAATTAAAAAACACAGTTGAATGAAAAATAAATTCAAAAATACTAGAAGAAATAGTCTACCCAAGTGAGAAGGAACCAGAAAAATAATTCTGACAATATGACAAAACAGGGTTCTACAGTACCCACAAAAGATCACACTAACTCTCCAGCAATGGATCCAAACCAAGATGAAATCTTTGAAATACCAGATAAAGAACCCAAAAGGTTGATTGTTAAGCTACTCAAGGAGATGCAAGAGAAAGGTGAAAACCAACATAGTGAAGTTAAAAAAATAATTCAGGATATGAGTGATAAATTTTCTAGAGATGGATATTTTAAAGAAAAACCAATCAGAACTTTTGAAAATGAAAGACACATTTAGAGAATTAAAAAATGCACAGGAAAGTTTTAACAATAGACTAGAACTAGTAGAAGAAAAATTTCAGAGCTTGGAGACAAAGCTTTTGAATTAACCCAATCAGACAAGAGTAAAGAAAATATAATTAAAAGAAATGAATAAAGTCTCCAAAACATATGGGATTATGTAAAATTGCCAAACCAAAGAATCACTAGTGTTCCTGAGGGAGAAGACAAACAAAAAATTTGGAAAACTTATCTGAGGGAATAATTAAGGAGAACTTCCCTGACCTTGCTAGAGATTTAGATAACCAAACACGAGAAACTGAAAGAACTCCTGGGAGATTCATTACAAAAAGGATATCACCAGCTGGACCCAGTAGCTAATGCCTGTAATACCACTTCGGGAGGCCGAGGTGGGAGGACTACTTGAGACCAGGAGTTTGAGACCAGCTTGGGCAACATAGAGAGAACCCATCTCTATAAAAAATTAAAAAATTAGCCTGATGTGGTGGCATATGCCTATAGTCCCAGCTACTCAGGAGGCTAAGGTGGGAGGATTGCTTGAGCCCAGGAGGTCAAGGCTGCAGTGAGCCATGATCATGCCACTGCATTCCAGCCTGGGTAACAGAGTGAGACTCTGTCTCAGAAGAAAAAAAAAAGAAAACAAAAAGGACATCACCAAGGCATATAATTATCAGGGTATCTAAAATCAACATGAAGGAAAGAATTCTAAGAGCAGTAAGACAAAAGCATCAGGTAACCTATAAAGGAAAACTTATTAGACCAACAACAGCCTTCTCAGCAGAAACTTTACAAGCCAGAAAGGATTAGGGTCCTATCTTTAGCCTCCTTCAACAGAATAATTGTCAGCCAAGAATTTTGTATCCAGCAAAACTAAGTTTCATAAATGAAGGAGAAAAAAAGTTTTTTTTCGGATGAGCAAATACTGAGAGAATTTGTCACTACTAGACCAGCTCTACAAGAAATACTAAAAGGAGCTCTAAATCTTGAAACAAAAGGTCAATATGCACCAGAATAGAACATCTTGAAAGCATAAAACTCAGAGCCTATAAAACAATAACACATGAAGAAAACAAAGTAGGTTAACAGTCAACAATGATGACTGAAATAGTACTTCACATCTCAATATTAACGTTAAATGTAAATGGTCTATATCCTCCACTGACAGAATGGTTGAAAAATTACAAACCAAATATCTGCTGTATTCAAGAGACTCACTTAACATGTAAAGATTCTTACAGACTCAAGGTAAA